>NC_000006.12:104464729-104616244 GCF_000001405.40 Homo sapiens
GTGGTGGTTGCAGTGAGCCGAGATCGCGCCACTGTATCCCAGCCTGGGCAAAAGAGTGAGAAGCTGTTAAAATTAAAAAAACAGAGAAAAATTTAAAAAGTAAAGCATTCACCCAGCATAGCTTCAGTGGTGTTTTTGCCAAAAAAAAAAAAAAAAAAAAACACACAAAAAAAACAGTGCTTAGGAGCCAAGCGCTCTCCTTAGGAGTGAGACACAGCCTACAGCCAGCCTGAGAATGTCTTGACATGGCCTCAAAAGCACCTGGGCCATTGCCCCAACCACTCTCTTCTCTTCCCCTCTGCAACCTCACACACACACAGATGCCAACCATAAGCAGCTACTTTCCAGGTCCTCTCAACAGCTCTAACTCACAGATTTGAGAATAAGTGAGGAAAGGGGAGATCTAGTTGATATATTTTATGCATGTTTTCTCTGTTAAAATCCTATGCAGAGAATTTTTAAATATCCAGTTTTTAACTTCAGAGAAGTAAAATTCTAAAAGCACAAAACAAGCTGCCACCCATTCTTCCAAGAACCAGTTTATTAATTTCCGTATTCATCTCTCAAGCTCAGAATTTTCATATCTCCTTTAACCTTATAATTTCTGACCACTTCTTACCCAACACTCCATCCCAAAATATTCTGTCCAAACCTTGTTTTGTCCTTTCTATTTCTTCCTTTGTACTTCTAGCATCAATTTTGTTCCTTTCAAACCATTCTAGTACAGGCCCTTGTCACCTAATAGTTGATTTCTGAAGCGTTTTAAGGTTGTTTCACCATTTAAGTTAAGAACTATGAATGGTCTGAGAAATTAGCCTATTTGCAAGTTAACAAGTTGGTTTGCCACAGTTTCATAAATACTAGAAGATACAAAACTCCTAGGTCAGAGACAAAGTATTTTGTTACTTATAGCAATAGCAGTAAGTACCTGAAGTGTGACCACTCACACCACTTCCCCAAGCCTCAGTTTCCACAGGGCAATGTAAAAGGGTCAGGTGACTCCTATACACACATACAGTAGGTAACACTATAGGAGAGGAACCCTGTATTCAGGCAAACTGAATCTTTTATAATGGACAGTAAGCCTGCTCATACTTGGCTCTAGATGGACACATTATCTCATGATGCCAAACTATAAATAAACCTGCCTTTTGCTTCAGAAGGAGACATGATCTCTATCTTTCAAAGCTATTTTCTATGCAAATATCCATGAAAAATGTGGTCCAGAACAAATGCAGTCAGTGGCCCTGCTGTCAAGATGTACAGAAATGCAAGAAACCCAGGAAGAATTGTCTCCCAAAACTTTAGCCTTGGGAAGACTATTTAACCTCTCTAAATTTAAGTTGCCTCATCTGTAAAATGTGATTGATAATACGTACTTCACTGGATTGTTGTCAAGATTAAATTCAATAATGTATGTCAAAAAATGTTTTAGCTCATTGCCTGACCCAAAGTATGCAATAAACAAATTTATGTTTAATGATTACTGTATTATTCAAGGTCTGCCCCTTCTTACCTAGTCTAGGCTGAGCATCTAAACTTACTTTCCAATTATTTCTCATCCACATACTGCAGTTTGTGTTCAATGGCCTATTCACTTCCCATTAAAGAGGATAGGTGCATTTCCATCTCTACAACTTTGTACCTCTTCTCCATCTAAAATCCCTCCCCACTTTTTGCCTTCATTCCAACTACTTTTCATAGCCAGTTAAAGCTCTGCCAATTCTTCAAAATTCCCCCAAGTCACTGCAGAATGCAAAGAACTTCCCTTCTGGCAACTTACTACATTTGCATATACCCCTCAATAAATGCCAGTTTCCCTTCCCTTTATTATATTTGCATATTGATGGATTTAATTTCTCTCAGCTGATCTCTCACTTGGCTTCTTTTTAACATTTCCATGTGGCTTTCTTGCTTCCAAAGTAAAAGTCAATTATATGTACAAAATAAATTACATAGCAATGTAGTACCATGATACAATTGTCAGCAAGAACCCTTCTTTTTCTCCAAGGTGATTAAGGAAACCTTTATTTACTTATTTATTTTAATTTACCAACCAAGTTTTACACCTTCAATCCTCCAAACAGTCCCCCTAAATTTTTTAATCTTGAAAATAACTGTTTCATAGTAAAAGAACCTGTACTTATAAGTTCAGCTATAACTCCCTGAGCAAAACTCAAGTTAAGTAGAAACTGGAAGTTAATATACTCTTTCTGGGAAAGTGATCTAAGTTGAATTGAATTGAAAATTCAGTACAGGTGTCTACCTGTCACCAGAAATGGCCATCATCCCTGATGTTCTGGGTTACAAAACCTTAGTAAAGGGAACAGGATGAATTAAGCTGTTATTTGAAATGGCATGAGTCACTCCTACAGGCAATCTCATAGCGAATACAGGTCACATCCCAGGGTAAGTTATCCGGGGAAACATGTGTGTCTCAGGTCTGGAGCAGTTTTCCAGCCATGTCCAATAAAACCAAGTATAATTCCAACCCTAGAGTCAGGGAGCCAGGGTAGGCAGCATGGCCTCAAGAGAGAGCTGAGGGTGGCATGTGCATGACAGCACAGAGCTGTATACGAGCTCTTGACTGACATCTCAGAGGGAAACTCAGTTTTGATCTGAGCCCATTTCCAAGTATTATTTTAAAGAATAACTTTTTAATATAATACAACATAGCACATACTATCAACAGATTAACTACATCAGTTAAGATGCTGATGCTTTCAGGAAGACAAGGAAACATCCTTCTAGAGCAGTGTTGTTTAATAGAATTCTCTGTGATGTCAATGTTCCCTATCAGGGCTTTCAAGTATGACAGCCACTAGCTACATATGGCTATTGTGCACTTGAAATGTAGCTAGCACATACCAGAAAGCCACTCTTTAAATTTTATTTAATTTTAATTAATTTAGGAAGCCACATGTGACTAGTGACTCTTGTGTTAGATGACATAGCTCTAAAACCTACCATGCAGCTGTCTGTACTGTCATGAGCACTGTCTCATGTAGCCCTCATACTAACCCTGCAAGCTAGGTGTTATGTTTATTTTTACAGACAATGAACAGAGACTGTGCTAGTTCTAATCATTAGCACAATATTATATAATGAGTAAGTGGCAGAGCTAGAATTCTATCAGGTTTTTCTAACCACAAAGTTCAAGTATTTCTTTTTTTTCATTTACCCCACCTTAGCTTCTCAGAATCAAATTCAAATTCTCTAACGTGTCACAAAGATGTTTTATACTATAATCCCAACCTATGCTTCCAGCCTCACCTCCACCACCATCCCCTCTACTTCCTCTATTTCAAAAATACATTTGCTCTCCAAACCCTGATGCATTTTCCTAACTCCCTGACTTTGAATTCATGGTGTTCATAGGCTTGAAAGGCCCTCCGTCTACTTCTCATCTCTCCATGCCTGGTAAGCTCCTGTATTGTGTGCTGATTATCTGTGTATGTGTCCATTTGCTTGTCTAGAATGTGAGCTGAAGGAATAGAGTCTTACTCAGCTTGTGCTCCCAGGATGTAGTATAGTACACAGTAGATACTCCAGAAGTATTCAGTAAAAAACAAATAAAGGGGAAATGAAGATGTGACATCATTAAATTCATCACACATTCAGAAAGCCTTACAGGGCTTGTCTTATTCTGGCCCTGAGAATTGTGTAGACAATGAGTATATTTAAAAAGCAAGATCTATTCCCCAATATGTTGAAAGACTTGCTTTACAATTTTGTGAGGAGAAAATGTATACATGACCAAGGCTGGCAACGAAGACCACCAGCGCTCACACCTAGGTTAAAGGAAAGCAGGATCACAGGGCTGCTGAGGATCAGCTACACTGGAGAAGCCGGCACTTTACACCTAAGCCCTAGGCGATCGGACAATGCACGGGTTGCCCAATGGGGGCCATAAGCATGCCTTCCCAACTGCAAGACTTGAATGTGTTAAACCATGAAGGAGGAGTCCTCAACCTATGGGGAGCACCCAGTTGGGATGAAAGGTAGTTTCATTCATCCATGGGGATACATGGCCAGTACAACTGCTTCCCGGAATGGATGTTCACCTTGACTGGACCAGCCAGCTGTGTGTTCCTGTCTGAGAAAACCTAGGAACTGGCTCCTGATTCAGCATATGTATTGCAGGTGGGCTGATTTACAAACACATTGCTATCCTGGAAAACAGGTAACCTTCAAACCTCTCTCCTTTCACCAACACACATGCACCTATATAAACATAACAAGACACCCTTGAGCTGCCACCACGATACAAAAGCTGAGTCACAGACAGGAATCAACAGATTTGGGTGGAAATTTTCCATATTTTCTTTGTTGTAGTTCAAATTTTCATGGAAAGCTTGGCCCACCTCTGAAAGTCTTAGAACAGCCTTAGATCAATGATTCTCTACCCTGGCTTGACATGATAATGACCTGAGGAATTTTTAAAATATACTTATGCCTGAGTCTCACCTTCGGAACTTCTGGTTCAACTGCTCTATGAGGAGGCCAAGGCACTAAGATTTTACAGATGCTGTCCTGTGACTACAACGTGCATCCGTGGTTGTGATCAAGAGGCCTAGCTCATGAGACCAGTAGCTTAATCACCAAAGCTACCCTAGAGAGAAGGGTAGTGTCAACGTCAGCACTGCAGTTGACTGTAGGAGCAGCCAACAGAGGGTGGTGAGGAAACTGCACGAAACAAAAGCAACAGTGAATTTCAGAAGAAAAATATTAGCCTATGGCTCAAGTATGCAGCACATTCTTAAATCAACTCATTTGCCTCCTAAACTACCTGTGACTTGGGGTATGTTTATTTTACAACATTGTGTGATTCCTGCTACTGTGACTTGTGTTATATTTCAATTCAACAAACAGTAATGGAATGTTTATAATGTGCATTCATTCTCTGGGCCAGAGAAGAACAATATTAGAAAATAACATTGAGAACCTAAGAGCCTAACAGGGGAAATGTGATGTGTTGCTTGCTGAAATAAATACAGTAGGTCCTCACCTAACATTGTGAATAGGTTCTTGGAAACTGCAACTTTAAGCAAAATGGTGTATAACAAAACCAATTTACCAATAGACTAATAGATATAAACAAGAATTAAGTTCCTATGGCATTATTTCTGGTCCCACAAATATCATCAAACTTCCAAATAAAGATCAAAAACACTTCTAATATCAAACATGGACATAAATGTGAGCTATACATACATTTTTAAAAGACTAATAAAAACAAGTAAAATAATTATTTATCTAATTATTCCAGTTTGCATTGTGGGTAGCCAGAGCCTATTCTGGCAGCTCAGGGTGCCAGGCAGGAACCCACACTGGAAAGGATGCCATCCCATTGCAGGGCACAACTACACACACACACACACACTCTCACCCAGACTGGCACCATGTAGACACACGAATTAACCAAAGATGCAAAGCTTTGGGATATGGGAGGAAACCAGAGGACCCGGAGAAAACCCACACAGACGTGGGGAGAATGTGCAAACTGCACACAGACCATGTTCCTGGCCGGAAATTGATTGTTTTCTCTCAACATTTTAATGAAACAACATTAAACAAAACGACATTATTTGAAGACCTGCTGGATAGGTATAAATGTGTTATGGGAGTTCCAAGTACAAAGGAGGGAGTGAATTAAATTAACTCTCTCACTCAGCTTAAGTCAAAGGCCTTATGATTGTCTGCCAAACCCTGAATCAGCCACTCCACTACCTGTCTGACTTTGGTTCCTGCTACACTCCCATTATTTGCCTCAATCCAGGTGTCCTCCTGGCAGTTACTGGGACACTTCGGCATGCTCCCAACCTAGGTCCTTTGCTCAGGCAGTTCCATGCCTTGAATGCCCTTCTCACAGCCACATGGCAACTTCCACACTGACTTCAAGTCTTTTCCCAAATGCTGTCATCTCAATGAGGCCTACCCTGCTGACATTATTTAAAAATGAAACCAGCCATGCAAAGTGGTGGCTCAGGCCTGTAATCCCAGCACCTTGGGAAGGCAAGGCAGAAGAATCACTGGCAGCCAGGAGTTCAAGACCAGCCTGGGCAATGTAGCGAGATCCCGTCTCTATAAAAGAAAATTAAAATTAGCAGGGCATAGTGGCACACACCTGTAGTCCCAGCTGCTTGGGAGGCTGAAGTGGGAGGATTGCTTGAGCCCAGGAGATCAAGGCTGCAGTGAGCTATGATGGTGCCACTGCACTCCAGCCTGGGTGACAGAGCAAGACCTTGCCTCTAAAATAAGAAATAAATAAAATAATATTGAGGCCTATCTGTACCCAAATTCTACCCCTAGTACCCCAATCTCATTTCTTCTGCTTCATTGTTTTTATTGCATGTGTCCCATTCCAGCACACTACTCAAATTACTTATTATGCTTATTATTATCTGACTGCTTGAACTAGAATGTAAGCTCCACAACTGTATGAATCGTAATGACCATTCACAAATCTCAAGAGCCTGAAATGATGCCTAGCAGATGCTAAGAATTCAACAAATTATGTTGAATTAATGAATGAGGAATTTAGCAAAACTTTCATTTAAGAGTAATGTGCTTCCTTTTCCTTTTAGTAGAATCTAATTTGCAATCCTGTAGCCAGTGTCTTTATGAGTTGGGACAGATTATAATAGCCCACTGGACCTATGGTGGAGAGATTTTTTTCCCCTGACTCCTGTGTGAGCAGTGTCAATTATCCATCCATTCAATCAACAAATATTTATTCAGCAACTATTTTCTGCTACATGCAGGGGACTGTGAGCATCCAAAATTCTGACCTCTAAGGACTTAAAGCTCGGTAAAAGAGGTGAGGTTGACACACAAATTTGTGCAATAAGAGGCAGGACATTCTGAGCCCTGAGAGGAGTGCAGACAGCAGCGTGATTTGGGAGTCCTCAGATAGTACTTTAAGTATGACACCCAGGACAAAAACTTCAGCCATTCTTGCTGTGGGCAGCAAAGACACAGGATGACACTAATCAGTTCATTTACCAAAGATGGGGTTTCTAATTTTGGCCTCCTATAACCTGCTCCCCTTCATGAGATGCCTGCCAAGGGAGTTGAGAGATGTCATTGTGCTTTCTAAGCACACTTGAACTGACTTTTGATAACCTTTACCTACCAAATCAGGCATGAAAACCACTGAACAATGGTTAAAACACTGTTTATTTTCCTTTTTTCCCCCTGGCTTTAAGGCTTCTGGCTATTTGTTCTAAACTATATACAGTACAGTATGTTTCACGAGAAGGCTGCAGAGCCGCACTCAACCACAGCTTAGCAATTGGGCTATTCTTTTAAAGCTTATGCAAGTCCTTACTGTAAATGCGTAAATGTAAAATAGCTTGGATCAAAACGCATCGTTGTTTTGACATGAAGGTGAGCGAATGATTTGTTCCTAGGAATAGAAGCCCTCAGACAAACAGTGTTAATGGGCCTCACCACAGAGCAGTTGGTGACAATAACAGAGTTAATTTTAAAGAAGGGGAAATTAAATAGTGGTTGCAATAGTCCTAGCCACTCTTAATTATTGTGATGGCAAATTATGAACAATTGCCTGTCACTTTCCCTTCTAAAGCAATTATTGATGTTTGCCTTATGGCTGAACTGTGCTGAAAACTCTCTAAGCAGGAGGCTGTCTGATTCAATGCTTTGTGGGCTCATATTCAGAACGCCATTTGGCCTGCAAAGTTGCTGGATTATCTGTAAACACAGTGAAAGGAGACAGTGATTGCATGAAGCAGAGGGAATGCACCTGAATGCCAATAAGGCAAATGTCATGACAGGAACACAAAGCCAGCATTCCATGTGACCTTTTAGATAGAAACCAATTTAGTTTGGTACCATCTCAAACAGAAAATTATGGTGTAATTCCTCATGTCAATACATAATTTATTTTGTAATAAATAACTACCCGCATATTTATGGAGCGCCTCTCCCCTCGTGTTTATGATGCTCTCAGGCACTGTCTCTCCAGCACACACTGCCGAATCATTGCAGAGCTTTCTGTTTTTCAGGCTGTTCTCTTCACTAAAGCTTGGTGATGACTGAAGAAAACATTAGAGGATTAAAAGCCACTTTCTATCTCTGCAAAAAAACCTAAGTTGTTTATTTTCTTATTTCCAAATTACCTAACATCAGGCTGAAGGATTCATGAGATCAAGTTTAAAAAAAAGAAATCAACGAAAAGCAATATTAAGCCCTAGTCTACAGTACATTTCCTAATAAAGGAAAGCTTCTGCCTTTAAAGTAGCATTAGCATCGGGCAGTGAATCAACAAAGGAAGAGAGCTCTGTCTTTCCCCCAGTTCTCCTCCCCTTAAATGCATCTGCTTCTTTGTGGGAGGTCTGAAGACAGGGGCTGCCTCCCAAAGTCACCTCACTCTCTATCATTAGGATGCAAATAGGGCAAGTCTTGAGAAGCTCTACCTTTTCCCCTCCAGGTCAGAGCTCCGAGTCTCCCCCAACCTGGCACTGACAGGGGACTCTTCCCACTGACAGCTGGTCACCGACCTAGCTGAAAGCCGTCGGGGGTCTTCCCTGAGCCTTGAGCCACAGGTGACCTCATCACTAACTGAGCCATCACAGTGCACAGTTAGCATTTTCAGTCCATGGCCTCTGTCAAGGACAAATGAGACCTGAGCTCTCATTGGAAGTGTGGTGGAGACAGCAGGGAGTGGGAAGAGGCCTGGGGGCACTGCGGGCACTCCCTATCACTGATTAGCCAGCATCAGATTCTTGGATAACTGAAGAGATTTGGGACCTTAGTGGCTAAGGCCCAGCATCTTTAACAAGTTTCAGAAAAATGGAAGAGGAGGATAATTTACAAGACAGAAAATAAAGAATAGCATATATGCTGCTTAGAACAGACTGTATTTGCATTTTTTTAGCTTCTAAATACCTATTTTGAGATCATTTTGGTATTAAGGATTACAAACATTTGTCTGTAATGTGGTTTCTGTCTCTGGCTAACTTCTGTAGTTTAATAACACAAAGAAATGACAAAGTTAATATGAGACACCACAATCATTCCTTTGAAAATTATCCACCATGCCACACAAATAGACACACACACACACACACACACACCCCAAACCAAACCAAATAAACACATTTCTTTGGCTTCACGGATGAAGCGATAGCCCGTAATGTGGAAAAAATAAGGGCTCTGGCTCAAATACAACATATTGAGAAGTAGAAATCAATACCCAGAGAAGATTTTACATAGCACTCGTATTATTTTTAATGAGTTGCTGTATAGAACTACCATGACAGAATAGAGTCCAGGATTTTCTGAGGACTAATTGGCTTCATTCCTCCAGCATGCCAACAGAGTACTTTCTGTTCTGTTTGGAAAACATATGCTGGGATCTGGATCAATGAATTGAGAAAATATTGGCCACCTAATGGGTGTCCAGAAGGAAGACCTCTGCTGCATGTTTAGGGGAAATCTTTTCTGAGAACATGGTCATCTCCATGTCACACTCACTTTGTCCAAATAGATACTGAAAACAAACTTCTGAAATCATCTTCAGGGGGCTCAACTTATCTAGGGTCAATAGTCTGAATCTCTGAGATTGTTTTGTCAAATTAAGAACCAATCAAGATGTTTATATCTTTGAAATAAAAGCTTTGTAAAACCATTGTCACATCATATGGACAAAAATGCATCTATGTGTTTTTTTCTTGCAGAATTTTATGTGTAATAAGATTTATGTGACACAGCATTTGAATGTAATACTATGGTTTAAAGAAATAAGTAAATTTAGCACTGGAGAATAATAAGATAAAACCAAATCTTTAAAATTTCATATTATTTAATAAAGAGTTATTTTTGGAAGAACTGTGGCTGAATATTCTTCATCATTATTGAAGATAGAATTAGTAGAATTGGCTTACAATAACACATGAGGAATTTAGGTAATTGTGTATAGATAAGTCACCTCAAAGATCATCTAATTCAGAACTGGGGAAAATACATGTTTTGGTGACATCTTTAAGCTGCTGGGTCAAACCTCCCTTTCTACCTCTAGACATTCCACTTATGCATCAATAAATTCCCTTGTTATTCAGAAATAAAATCATCTGGTTCAACTGTCAAACACATACAAGTGAAGAAACTGTGGCACAGAAAGGCTAGGACTAACACAAAAGTATGCTACCAAACCAGCTTAAAACAATAAACATTTGTTATCTCACTGTGTCTGTGGGTTGGGAATAGGGGCACAACTTGACTTGGTACCTCTGGCTCAAGGTGTCTCATGAGGTTGCAGTTCCAGCTAAGTTGTCAGCCAGGGCTGCAACTTCACTTGAAGGCTCAACCCTTTGGGCAAGTGAGGGATGGAGAAGAGAGGAGAAATCCACTTCCAAACTCATTCCTGGGGTTGTGGGCAGACCTTGATTCCTCCCCACATGGATCTCTCTACATGCTGCCTCACAAAATGGCAGCTGGCTTCCCCTAGAGGAAGCAATCCAAGAGAGGGCAAAGAGAATTCTCAAGATGGGAACCACAGTCTTTACAGAACCCAATATTGTAAATAACATTCCTGTACTTTATCCATATTCTCTTCATTGGAAACAAATCACGAGGTCCAGCCCACACTCAATGGGAAGGGATTACACACAGGCATGAGTATGAGGAGGTGGGGGAATGGGGACCATCTTAGAGGCTGCCTTCCACAACTATGATCACAACCCACATCTTATCCCAAACCCACTGTTCTTTCCACTACACTTTGCTGAATTGAAATGGATAATTTCCAGACATTAAAGGTTAGTAAACACTGGACAGGGTATTTGAGAAAATTGTAGGGTCTCCATCTCAGAATATCTTTTATAATAAGACCTTCTTTTACCTACTGGAGAAGGTTGAATTTGAATGTCTCTAGCAGATAAGAAGAAGTGCAGTGTATACTGTGTGGTATACACTGGGGTTTAAGAAGCTGTCCACCCGCGTTATTAACTAGGTGAAGAACTCATTTTGTTTTCAAGGCTTACTTTCCTTACCATGAAAAGTCAGAATGGGATTAAGTTTCTAGTATGTTTCCAATTTTGTTACAGCTTTAAAACAATAACTTTTATATCTGGTCTTCAGGTTTGACCCTACATATAAGTAAATTAAGTGATGATCCCCAGGATTTGACAGTGAGAGAAAAAAATGTTCTGCACCAAAATATTTCTCTCTCTGGCTTAAATTTCTACATTAGATGTTCTTTTCTATTTGTTATTAAAAGCCTCTGCTAAAATGCAAATGTGTTATCTGGAATAACATATTAAACTATCATCCCAAATTAATATTTAACTGAATTTGTTTCTCTTGTTAACTAACATATCAGCTGGTAGGGATCCAGGGAATGGGGCAAATAAACAAGTAAATTTTAATGAGAATGGATTTTTCCAAGAGGATTTTAGGGCAAGAAAGGACAGATTCATATGGAATGGGGAATGAGGGGTGACCAGTAGCCCCAACAGTAAAATATTAGGGAACATGGGATAGTTAAGAAAAACCTAGAGGACATAAAACTGCCAATATAAGCAAACTTCTTTTTTTTTTTTTTTTTTTGAGACAGGGTCTCGCTCTGTCACCCAGTCTAGAGTGCAGTGGCACAATCATGGATCATGGCTCACTGCAGCCTCAACCTCCTGGGCTCAAGCAATCCTCCCACCTCAGCCTCCTGAGTAGCTGGGTCTATAGGCATGCACTACCACACCTGGCTAATTTGTGTGTGGGTGTGTGTTGTTTTTTTTTTTTAAGACAAGTTCTTGCTATATTGTCCAGCATGGCCTTGAACTCCTGGGCTCAAGTGATCCTCCCACCTTAGCCTCCCAAAGCGCTGGGATTATAGCCATGAGCCACTGCACCCTGCCCATAGGCAGACTTCTAAGGACACTACAACACCTAATCTAAGTAGAAGGTCTTTACTTTAAACCCCTACTGTATTCTTGACTTCTCATCACCAAAAATGCCTCAGCATTCTCACAGTCATTGCTTAAATGTTGTCTTTACCTCTCCAGCCACAGACCATCAGTTTATTTCCCCTGCTCCTTAGTCTTTACAAGTCCTCCTGTCTGTACTTCCATCCTTCATTTTAGATCATAAGGTTGATTCATTAAATTATTCCTTTGCCCTCCCTTGCACTTCCCCCAAATCCCTGCCTCTCCCTTCACCATCACACTCACCTAAGAAAAATTCATTTTAATCTGAATGAACCTGACCTTGTCTGTCTTGTCCATACCTTTACCTGTGTAGCTAAATGATGCTAGAGGAAACAGTAAAGCTGGACATGTTCGCATCACTATAAATTCATGATGACCGAAGTGAATGACCAATGCTGCCAAGCAAGTCAGCTTGCTGTGTCTCTTGACACTCCAAATCCCCTCCTAGTCTTGGGAACTTCAAATGCGCAGGTCTCTGACTCAAACTTGCCTACCATTCACAACTGCTTTTCACCCTTCAAGTCAGTTTAGACGTCACCACCTGAGATGTTTCACTGCTTGCATCTCCCCATTCAGTTAAAGTTTTTTCAGCAGCTGTTTATTTCTCTCACAGTTCTTAATCACAATTAGTAATTACCTATTTATTTATGTATTATTTACTTATCATTTGTCTTCCACTCTAGACTGTAAGCTCCATGAAGATCTAGGACTATTATTTGCTAAACATTTATATCATGCATAGTAACTGGGACTAAGAAGTATTCAGTAAATAGTTGTTGAATGAATGAATGAACAAACTTATGTACCATCTGTATCCATATGAACAGGAGTGGTCACATCTACATTATCTTCAAAACTCTTCGACCCTCTTTCTTTCCCTTTGTTTCTTTGCTCAATCAGTATTATTTTAAACAGATTTCTAATGGAAATGCTGATACAGACTTTACTTCAGCAGTATAAATGGCATCAGTCGCTGACATGACCCCCTGCTGTTGCCATTGGCAACAATTAAATTAGCTATATAAAACCTGACACAAGAGCTGCAGCATCCATTCAGTGAAATAACCAGGCAGTCTTTCAGCAAACACAATAATGACCCGTGTGGCTGTGCTTTTAGTACAGGAGCAAGTGCTGAGCATTGTCTTGCCCAAGACAAGGCATTAACACAGTTCCTGACTCCTGTTTCCATTGTTGCTTAAAAGGGTTGCCTAATTAATTGATTTTATTGAATCTCAACCAAGGCACATTTGTTCCTTGGTAAACCAATGAAAAAAGCTGAGGAGCTGAAGAGCTACTCCTGTAAAATATAAGAAAGGAGTTGTGGAGGTCCTGTTTTATGCTACATATTATTGTAAGTAAAAGTATAGTTCACATGGTTATTGACTGCTTAATGCCAAGAGATAGACATGAGCACATTTGTTGATCTCTGTGCTCAGAGAAAGGCATTTTACTGGATCCAGCAGAATAGTCTCACTCCCTTACTCTCCATATGCACTCACTCTCTCCTGAACACCCTGGCAGTGTGTGCTTTGTAAAAGCAAAGAGCCAGTATAAGAGGTGAACTTCTAGAAAAGTAGAATAAAGCAACTAGCATCCGTATAATCCTCCACAGCTACCAAAATCTGCCTGGTACCTTTCCTCATCTGATGCTCACAAATATCCTTATATGCATATTATGATGCTCATTTTGCAAATAAGGAAATTGAGACTCAGGGATGTGATGACTGCCTTAGTCCATTCAGGCTGCTATATAAAATACTTTATATCTGGTGACTTACAAACGATAGAAATTTATTTCTCATGGTTCTGGAGGCTAGAAAGTCCAAGATCAAGGCAGTAGCCGAGGACAGACCCACTGTCTGTTTCAGAGATGGACATCTTGCTGTGTCCTGCATGGCAGAATGGCCAAGAGGTCACTCCACGGCTCTTTTTATAAGGGCACCAACCACTTCCCAAATGTCCCACTTCCTCATACCATCACAAGGGGATTTGGTTTTAACATATACGTGTGGGGACATCACAAACATTCAGACCATAACAATGATTCACCTGATTTTACAAAGCCCAAGTCAAGACCCTCTGAGTCTAAAATCTGTAATATGGTTAAGTAACCCAGGCAAGGAAATAAAACAGTTTAAATTAAATCAATAGATATAAAAATGGGAATAAAAATGAAAGAACAGATGACAGGCATTTACAGAATTGTAGGAATTATGACTGATATGAGGTAGAGTGAAGGATAAATGGTTCCTGACCCAGCTACATAGATGGACTGCAACGTCATTCCCCAGAATCAAAAGGAGGGAAGAGCATGTTTAGCAAGTGAGGAGTAGAGAGGAGGGGGAGAGACAACATGATACATTTAGTTTGGAATCCTGTGATCACAGGATGCCTGTAGTATGTGGCAAATGCAAAGTTAGATAGAGAAATCTGGCTCAGAAGAAAGTTTTCAAAACAGTAAACTGCTGGCAAACAGTGAAGTAAGGCTGGGCACTGTGGCTCACACCTGCAATCCCAGCACTTTGGGCGGCTGAGGCAGAGGATGAGTTGAGACCAGGAGTTTGAGACCATCCTGGGTAAGCTTGAGTTTGAGACACAGCAAAGCTCCATCTCCACGAAAAAGAAAAATGATAATTATCCAGATGTGGTGGTACTTGACTGTAGTCCTAGAAAGAAATGTAGTATGATAGCTTGTTTTTTACCTTTTTATTCCAAAATAATTTGAGACTTCCAAGAAAGCTGTAAAAAAAAATAGCACAACGTATTCCCATAAATCCTCCACAGATTCTCCAAATCTCAACATTTTATATTTGCCATATTCTGTGTGTATTAAATTTTCTGAAATACTTGAGAGTAAGTTGCAGATATGATGCACCTTTAACCCTAAATAGTCTAAGTATTCAATATGTGTGTTTTAGTAAACACATTTCCTCATTACTTGACCACAATAAAATTACCAAAATTAGGACATTAACATTAATACAAAATTATAATCTAAGCTACAGATCTCGTGCAAATCTTTTCCAACTGTCCTACTAATAAGATTTGGCATTTTTTTTTAAAATACTGGTCCAGACTCCAACCCAGAACCCAGAATCACAAAGAACTTTCTGTTAGTTGTCATATCTCTTTTTTCTCCTATAATCTAACAATCCCACATTCTTTCTCTTTTGTGATTTCATGGTCTTGACATTTTTGAAGACTGGAGGCCATTTATTGTTGTAGATTTTTACCTTAACTTAGGTTTTTCTGAGGTTTCCTCATGATTAGATTCAGGTTATGCATTTTTGGCAGAAATACCACAAAAGTGAGGTGTGTCCTTTTCATTGCATCATATTTGGAAGGGTAGACATCTATTTGTCCCATTGCTGGTAATATTAACTGTGATCATTAGTCAAGGTGGCATCTGCTGGTTTTCTTTTCTAGTTACTCATTTCCCCTTTGTATCTTGTGGGGAAATTCTTTGAGAATATGTGAATTTACTGTTATTCCTAAAAACATTATCCCAAATTGTGATTTTTCTAATTCAATTTTGCCACCTATTAGTTGGTATATAAGAAATACCTTTTTCTCCACTATTTCTCTATTTTTAATGTGTTTACTTACATCAGTTTGGACTCGTGGATTATTATTTAATTATGCTGGTTTTTTTATTTATTTAGAGTCTCAAATTAACTCAGATTTGCCCAGTGGGAGCCAAGAGAAAGAAATGTTTTGTAAGGGATCCAGTAAAGAGGAAGAATTGATAAGAGAGGTGGGAGAGAATACTACTGATGGACAGAGGTGCATAAGAGGCAAAAGGGAATGGTATGCAGAGCACAGGTCAAAGAACAATTTCATGTAAGAGTAGAGACAATTCATCCACTGAACTAGCAGAAAAAAAGCAAAGAAGAAATAGATGGGGTCGGGAGCACTCAAGAAGTTCAGAAACTTGTGATAACTTCTAGATCCTCTAGGACGTGGGAAGTGAAATGGTTTGCTAGGTAAAGAGGCTTTAGGAGAACATGAGACCAAATGAGAGTAGTCACAGTGCATGTGACAGTGTCATGGGGATTGGAGAGGCAGATGACAAGCAACATGGAAGGAAATCGCTGGTCTTTGCAGAGGTCTTCCTGTCCCCATTCTGTAAAGTTGTCCAGATCTATTAGATCTGTTTACTGCACCTCTGTCTCCCACCACCATCTTGTTCAACAGCAAGTTGTTAAAACAATTGCATTGATACACAGTTGGAATATTTTAGGTGAGTGAAATAAAAGTATGAAAGGGATAAGTAAGAGGGTAAAGTTTTAAAAATAATGTAATTTAAGCTATGGATCATGTAATTTTCTCAGGCTAGAGAAGAAAATAAAAACAATAGAGGCCAATGACAAAGAAAAATTGAAGAATCAAGGTCCTGGGAGTTTAATGAGGTTTGAAAAGAGACAGAGAGAAGGAACAGAAGTCAGATGGTTTAATGGAAGTTTAGGTTCAAAGAAGAAGATACTAAAGTTGAAGACAGAGGTGCAGCATTTCTAGGCAATGACAATGTCCTCTCGTTTAGTACATGGCATGTCAAGTCTCTCGCTCTTGGTCTAACAAGAAAAGAAGATGTAACACCTCATTGACTCAGATATATCACCTGTTAAACTTCCATCATCCAGAACACAGCCAGCATCAAGAAGGTGAGCAAAAAATGCCTATGAGCAGCAGTGAAAATAGGTGAGAACGTATGCACCAAACTCATGCTGTTTACCTGAATGCTCTTGAAGGAGTAAAACAGAAAAGGTGTTTGGTGCTTTAAAGGAGATAAATTTCAGTTATTTGCAATAGTCACTTCTAGGGAACACTGTGAATCTCCGTGAGACCAAATTCACAGATCTACAGAAAAACAGACTTCAAGATAATGTTATTGGACATTTCTATCATATGGGCACTGAACCAGGTCCTAATATGTTTTATTTCTTGTAATTCTTACAACAGCACCATGGGATCGGTGCTATTGTTTTCCCAATTTAACAGGTGAGAAACTGAAGATTTAAAGGGGTTAGTTTGCTTGAAAATGGTATAGTCTGGATTCAAATCAATTTCCCTAATTCTTGAAGCCATTTCTTTAACTTCCAAGATAAAGAAGCTCTTGTGCATTTCTCTGTTAATGTTTTTTACCCCAAACATATTAATAAGGTTGGTATATACAAATTCAGCCTAAATAGTCACTCAGTAGTAACTGTATGTGCAAAATGACAAAAAAAAAACCTGACATTTTTTTAAGTTGCAAACTTTCTATTTTATATTTCTTCAGGAAAACTGCATTAATAAATGATATATCATAATCATTGGTGATATTAAAAAGGTATTAGATCAACAGGGCTGTTTCCTTGGCAAGATAAGATTAATTCCTTGATGTATTGATTCAATAGTCGATCTCAGCCAAAGATGCAGAATTAAAAAGAGTGTAGAAATGATTGTTTTGTTTCGTTTTGTTTTGTTTGAGACAGAGTCTCACTCTGTCGCCCAGGCTGGAGTGCAGTGATGTGATCCTGGCTCACTGCAACATCCACCTCCCAGATTCAAGTGATTCTCATGCCTCAGCCTCCCAAATAGCTGGGACTACAGGCACACGCCACCATGCCCAGCTACTTTTGGTATTTTTAGTAGAGATGAGCTTTCGCCATGTTGGTCAGGCTGGTCTCAAATTCCTGACCTCAGGTGATCCACCCACCTCAGCCTCCCAAAGTGCTGGGATTACAAGCATGAGCCACTACACCCAGCCTGAGAGGATCTTTACTGTCTCTTTTGGAAAACAGCATACCCAGACTTTTATAAAAAATGAAATGGAAAGAAAATCACAATTCATTATAGTCTAATTTTTTATATTCCTTTATATTAATTAAAAGATTAAGAACTATGAATGATCTGGGTTCAAAGAGACAGCTATTTGTCATTGTTAATGGTATATCAACGTTCTATTTACCAGAATAGCATTTACATCCTTTTCTCCTTCACAAAACTAGAAAGTCCTATAAGATGCAGAGCCACAGAAACTCCTGTGCAGAAACTAGGTGTTATTCAGTATCTTCCCCAAAGTTCTTCTAGTTCACCTCATTTTTATATTGCCACATTTCTAATAATTTAGTCCTGGCTTTTGCAATGAACAGTCTAAATTTGTCAAGCTATAGCATAGAGTAGTTTTCAACTATGGAGAAACATCAATGAACCAAGAAAACTCATTTCATGTGTATTCCAAGTGTCACCACGGAATACTAGATGGGTTACTGGATTGTTAGCTTAGAGAGAGAGAGAGAGAATGGGTGTCACACTGCCAAAATCCAAAATTCCTTTTGCAGAAGCTGCTTGATGTGGTAAAAACCTCAGCTAAAATAAAAGTTCCATTCCCTAATACTAAAACAATCTCTCATTTCAGTAATGTCAGTAATTAATAATCAAATGAACTGTTGGGGACCGTTTGAGTATAGCAAAAAGAAAGGTGATTGTCTCCAATTCAAACTGGTTATTTTGGTATTAAGTGCACATGACCATCAGTAATACATAGGATTTTATATTTGATTTTCATTTAAAAGGCATTTCAGAGATGTTGGGGAGGGGCACATGTGCAGATGTTATACATATTTTAATAGATGATCATGGTACTATTTAAGACTAATTTTCTAAGCCTCAGATTTAATCTTACCATTTTTAAGGAAATTATAATGACCGATGAAATCTCAAAACCATAAAGCAATTTACTGGTTTGTCTATAGGAAGCTGTCTTAGAGCAACACCTAGTGGTTCCTTTGACCCTTCAGATAAACATTTAGGATTAGGAAGGAGCAGTTTTAAAAAGTCTTCCTTTTAAGAAATTTTAAATAAGACACAGATTGTTAGGATAATGTGTGCTCTCTGCTTTCTCATGCTTCTTTAAAGTTGTGTTTAATTTCCATTTTGTACAAGTTTCACCAAAACACTCATCTCTATTAATTTAGTGATTCTATTATGAGGTTAAAAAGGGTCGATGGCCAAAGAAGGTTGGTTATTTTGCATGAAGACATTATTCTATAACCAAAAATGATTCCATGAAAAGCTAGTGGTAAAGAGAGTCTAACTATAAATCTTAAATAACATATGTAACTACAACAGAAAGATTAAGTTTTTTTAATTCAATAGAAACCACAAGTTTAATTTGAATCAAAATACTATTATATGAAGGTCTTTCTTTGAAAATTACTGGGCTTGTTTTATATACTTTGCAGGAAGATTCGAGAAGAAATCTCACAATGATGTGAAAATGTCTTACTCCTCAGAATGTGGTGGTGGGTTTTAAATTCTTTTTTGTCAGGTATTATATTGAAATTTCTTCACCTCTTCCAATAAAGTAATCATAAGTGGGGAAATTCTACTCTAGTCATTTGCGGTGTCTGCGGAGGTCTGCAAGATCACAATCTTCAAATCGATTCGAGAAATGTTGACATTTATACCATTCCCTGGTCGTGTTATAATCATTGTCACCAGCACAAATTCGTGAGGTTTTTATTTTATGTTCCTGTCAAAATCTGTCACAAAAAATGAGACTGAAAATGTTTAATGTTTTATTTGCTCTCTGAGAGATGATAATAACCCCAGCTTCTCTGACCTCCTTGGTGTTTCAAAATTTAGTGGCTGGTTAGTTTTCACTCCTTTTGCAGCCTCGGCAGCCTCTAAAGAAGCCAAATCATCAACCAATCAAAATGCAGAGGACAAAAATGGTTCAGAGCCTTCTCTCCTGCTTGGTACCTGTGTGACATTTCTGTTCTCTCCACAGGCAGGAGGGTTGTTAGGCACATTTAAACCTTTCCTAATGACACCTTTACTATAATGGAGAGCAAGCAACAATAGCACCTCTATCAAACACATCAAAATGTTCAATGGGCTTCATAATCAAAATATCTGATGTTAAAACCAGCAAACGCAGTTTCAAATTGTATGTATGTCACTAAATTCACTACAGTGCCTTACAATGTGTGGCCCAGACAAAGATATCTTCTGTCTCCCTTCCTTTCTCACATAATTGTTTTGTTAAATTATTGCTTACTGAAAATGTTATTGTTCCTTGCTGATGTCCCTTCCTGGCAGGGTTGGCAGAACCAAGGAGGCTGTGCCACTCCCTGCCGTGCTCACAGACGAATGAGATGGCTGACAGGACAGCAATGGGCCTCAAAGGCTGGACCAGAGCCCCAGTCACCCTGTTCCCAGGACCCTGCAGGCACAGATGCTCACCTGAGACCACACCAGTCCCTTTCAATGACTTCACTGAGACACCATGATGACAAAGTAATGCTGCTTCCCATTGTGAAACCTGCAACCTGGAGCAGGCATCGTGGGGGTGCTGGAGCCCTGCCCAGGACTCTATTTATTCTGATTAAATAGGTTTTGCAAAATGGAAAATAAATAAATAAAATGTCAATGCCAGATTCATGGATTTAGCATTTGGACAGATAGGGTAACTGTGTGGACTACTACACAGCAGCTTTATTTTCATGTCGGCTGCTGGAAGGCCCTAACGTCATTGTTAAGGAATCTTTATTGGAAAATGTTATGCCTACCAACATTACCCTGTTCTCTTTAAATACCGAAAAGAGTTTCTTTACCATTCTTCCACCCAGGACTGAATGCCAAACCCCTTCGCTGCCTATCTCATTACAGATTCAGTGGCATCCTTTTAACACTGCCATAGGTCAATTTTCAGGCTAAAAACAGGTGAGTCTATTCTGCGTAGTCCATCAAAAAGTCAACTGAAAACAGTTTCAGGAAGCATAAGAAAAAATTCAATTTTTTCCACTAATTCTTTTGTTATGTACAATAAACTGTTATTTTGACTACATAAAGACAAAAATCAAGACTTTTTTCACAGGTGATTACACTACCAGTGTCATTGATCCTGCTGCTGCCTGTTTACCTCTCCAAGGTGCATTCATTTGCTCTTATTCCAATATATTTTTGGATAAAATTACTGTGACTCAGATATGAAACCATTTTTATTGTAATGTAAATCTAAAGGATAAGCAATGTGAGTTTTCATCCTATTTGCCATAGCCTAGAAATAGACATTTTACCCTAGCATTTTCTTTTATACATAACTCGGCATAGGATACGTAAGTTTAAAAAATAAGATATAAATACAACTGCAATGTCAATTTCCTTATTCTACATGAACTGCTTAAAATCAGTGTCCATACTTGGTTATACTACAAGATGATGCTCTAAGATTAATTCCTTATACTCTGGAACACACGTATATATTGAGAGAATGAAGCCTGTTTAAAAGCTTCAAATGAGTTTAGTGTTCTGCATTTAGAGAAGCCCTAGTAAAATAGCCAAAAGAAACAGCAACTGGTCCTAAAACACATCTATTGAATTCATACTCTCCAGGCAATGCTTTCTAAAATGTAAAATTTCATCAGTTCTGAATTGAAAAGATTGATCTGCTTGTCATGTTGAATAGACTCTAAAAGTAGTTTAAGCAACAATTGACCCTGAGCACAGTACTAGCGGATTCTTCTGGGCATTGGGCTGAAGACAGCTCCAGATTTCTAAGATAACTGAAATTGTCTGTGTTGTGAAAAACAGCAGAGCAGCTCACAGCAGGCTGGAATGCTCAAGAGGATTTTCATAATTACGGCTAAGAAAAATGAGATTTACTGGAAGCTGCATTTGTATCAGTACGGCTATGTCTTTCCTCACAACTCCTTATGCTTAAAAAAATCAATTCCATCCACTTTTCATAATTCCATTTGCTTTTTTTGTCTATCAGCCACTAAATTTAAGCTACATTACAGAAGGCAACTGTGAATCTTTTTTATTAGTGATTAATCTATTTCTACTACCGACTTGCAATTTCTGTCAGATATTTCAAGTTCCACTCACCAAAAAGTCATAGGCATGTGCTAGAATCCACATGCTTAGCCACTGATGAAATGTGGAGGTGAGATTCAAAGAACAACAGGTATAACAACAATGAGCAAAAGTGCATCCTCTAAATGAAGAGGAGTGCTCCACAGAACTATTCAAGAGATGTGCACTGAATACAAAATGCACTGCATATGCCAAAATGTGTGTCCATAAATGTTATGTTAAGAACATAAACCACACAAGGCTGGGCACAGTGGTTCACGCCTGTAATCCCAGCACTTTGGGAGGCCGAGGCGGGCGGATCACGAGGTCAGGAGATCAAGACCATCCTGGCTAACACGGTGAAACCCCACCTCTACTAAAAATACAAAAAAAAAAAAAAAAATAGCCAGGCGTGGTGGCGGGCGCCTGTAGTCCCAGCTACTCGGGAGGCCAAGGCAGGAGAATGGCGTGAACCCGGGAGGCGGAGCTTGCAGTGAGCCGAGATCGCGCCACTGCACTCCAGCTTGGGTGACAGAGCGAGACTCGGTCTCAAAAAAAAAAGAACTTAAACCACACACTTACATTCCTTTATATTAATAACCTTACATTCCTCTTTTCTGGCCTAGGACCAGTTTCCTCATTCTGTTATCTCAGCTTCTTACGAAGGGATTTACTTTTTCTCTGTGTGAGCTTCTTGGAGCAGCAGAAGTGATGCAGCCATTCTGTAGCTCACACAAACTGTTGCTGAGCTCATGGCTCACTGTCATGGTATTGAGCAGCATCTGGGCCCAAACTCGATCCACCTGCCCTGAATCCTCCTTCAGCGCCTCTGACTCCTGGGCCAGGTGTCAGGTTAACTCCACGATGAAGGGCCTGGCTTCTGCAGGACACACTCATCACTAGGGTCAGAGGCAACAAGAACAAACAGGGTTTCAGTCCATCTTTGCAGGGTTCCAGCTCATGCTTGTGGGTTCCAGCCTGCTTATGACCTTCCCTTCCTAACTGCTTGTGCCTTAGGCTTCGAGCTTCAGCATCAGATGTGGAGACAACAGTTCACAGTTCTGAAAGCTCCTTGTAACAAAAGCAAAGAAATTTAATTTACTCTTTCTCTCGTCTATATATATATATATATATATATATAAAATGTATATTAAACACATATACATACACACACATATAAAATAACTGTATATATGTTGTCTATAGACACATATAGTTTACATATACATAGTGTATGTATACATATTATATATATTAATATTCTACTTCTGTGGCTAAACCCTGAGTAATAGAGAATTTGGTTTGAGAAAAAAGTTTTTGAAAAACCTTGTGTAATTTTATGACAGGCTTAATAGAAGGATTTCTGAGGTCTCCAAGACTGACACTTACCACATTAACTGAAACTCCAGGAGGCATGGTATAGCCATGATCCAAGGACCAGAACACCGATGTTTGAAAATACATAATTTTCAAAGGAACAAGAGGCTTTGGAGAATACCCAAGCACAAAATTACAACTACAAGGACAGTGACTGCTCAGGAGTAAATAGTGGGCCCACTCTTGTGGTACTGAAGATCTTCAAGCAAGAAAAATGGCAGTTGTTCAGTCTTATCTTCTGAGCTCTTTTTGTGCCTTATATAGTAACCAGGTTAGATACAGCAAATGTTGCCATCTAGTAAAAAGTTACAGAAAACATACAGGGGGATAAATCTATATTTTCAACACACTGCTTTGTATGTGGATAATTGTATTTTTCATTTAAGCACAGCAGATTGGTTCACTTTATAAGTATCAGTTAGGAACATTAATGTGATTTCTACCAAAAGGTGATTACTTTCCATTAAGTCACAGTGATGTTTCAGATCTTACCAGCAGCACCATAGTCCTTTCTATAAAGGAGTTTAGTCCTCTTAACAGGAGTTTATAGTTTGGCAGTGACACTTCTGATGTTCTGTTTCTTAAACTCAGAAGCAATTGTTCTTCAACTGTTTTCCAATTTTTTTTCAAAAGTTAAATTTGATAACTTTTAATTTTACACAAGTTAACAGAAAAACAATTTTATTCAATATAGCTCTTCCCCAGATAAATTCTGTATAAATAATACTGTGAGAATTTTAATATTCTGATTAAACCATGCCATAAACTATACTGGGTCAGGCACGTTTTAGAGAGGAAAAAATGTCCTCCTCTCCAAATTTAATTTTCCCTTTTATGTTTGGAACACATCTTTTGGCATCATAGATAAAATTCATATGAAAGTACATCCAGCTTATTATAGGCATGCAGCTAACTGTCTTTTCAAAGATCTTTCCATCTTATTCCTTATTAGATTATTAAACTATCATAAACTGTTTTAATCATACCACTACAAAATGACTATCCTCCAATCCACAATGCTGCTGTTATTCTGATTAAAAAGGAACTATGATGAATTAAAGTTTACTTTTGGCTCTAATACACTAACAATCAATCAAGTTTGTCTTATTTTTGACCAATTTTATTAAAATGTTATACTGATATGGCTATACTGAAACTGAGTTTATATTCCACTTTCACCATTAGTAAATTTTACTGTAAATACGTCTATCTTTCTGACATTTCCGTAATTCTTTATGCTTTACCTAGATGTGTAGTTTATCCAAATTCAAACTAAACTATTGTTCAGTGTTACGTTACTTGGCATGGCATCTGTATTATTAAATTATAGCATTTTTTCTAACGTACTTATCATTTATGCTGTAAAAGTTCAGATTGTACTTTTTAAGAAAAAGAATTATTATTCAATGTCAGCCAACATTGAATTGAACATTACTTTTCATTTTACAGAAGTAAAAATGAAAACATCCACGAAAAAGAAAAAGAAAGATCATTTTCGAGAGGAGGAGCCAAGATGGCCGAATAGGAACAGCTCCGGTCTACAGCTCCCAGCGTGAGCGACGCAGAAGACGGGTGATTTCTGCATTTCCATCTGAGGTACCGGGTTCATCTCACTAGGGAGTGCCAGACAGTGGGCGCAGGCCAGTGGGTGCGCGCACCGGGCGCGAGCCGAAGCAGGGCGAGGCATTGCCTCACCTGGGAAGCGCAAGGGGTCAGGGAGTTCCCTTTCCGAGTCAAAGAAAGGGGTGACGGACGCACCTGGAAAATCGGGTCACTCCCACCCGAATATTGCGCTTTTCAGACCGGCTTAAAAAACGGCGCACCACGAGACTATATCCCACACCTGGCTCGGAGGGTCCTACGCCCACGGAGTCTCGCTGATTGCTAGCACAGCAGTCTGAGATCAAACTGCAAGGCGGCAGCGAGGCCGGGGGAGGGGCGCCCGCCATTGCCCAGGCTTGATTAGGTAAACAAAGCAGCCGGGAAGCTGGAACTGGGTGGAGACCACCACAGCTCAAGGAGGCCTGCCTGCCTCTGTAGGCTCCACCTCTGGGGGCAGGGCACAGACAAACAAAAAGACAGCAGTAACCTCTGCAGACTTAAATGTCCCTGTCTGACAGCTTTGAAGAGAGCAGTGGTTCTCCCAGCACGCAGCTGGAGATCTGAGAACGGGCAGACTGCCTCCTCAAGTGGGTCCCCGACCTCTGACCCCCGAGCAGCCTAACTGGGAGGCACCCCCCAGCAGGGGCACACTGACACCTCACACAGCAGGGTATTCCAACAGACCTGCAGCTGAGGGTGCTGTCTGTTAGAAGGAAAACTAACAAACAGAAAGGACATCCACGCCGAAAACCCATCTGTACATCACCATCATCAAAGACCAAAAGTAGATAAAACCACAAAGATGGGGAAAAAACAGAACAGAAAAACTGGAAACTCTAAAACGCAGAGTGCCTCTCCTCCTCCAAAGGAACGCAGTTCCTCACCAGCAACGGAACAAAGCTGGATGGAGAATGACTTTGACAAGCTGAGAGAAGAAGGCTTCAGACGATCAAATTACTCTGAGCTACGGGAGGACATTCAAACCAAAGGCAAAGAAGTTGAAAACTTTGAAAAAAATTTAGAAGAATGTATAACTAGAATAACCAATACAGAGAAGTGCTTAAAGGAGCTGATGGAGCTGAAAACCAAGGCTCGAGAACTACGTGAAGAATGCAGAAGCCTCAGGAGCCAATGCGATCAACTGGAAGAAAGGGTATCAGCAATGGAAGATGAAATGAATGAAATGAAGCGAGAAGGGAAGGTTAGAGAAAAAAGAATAAAAAGACATGAGCAAAGCCTCCAAGAAATATGGGACTATGTGAAAAGACCTAATCTACGTCTGATTGGTGTACCTGAAAGTGATGCGGAGAATGGAACCAAGTTGGAAAACACTCTGCAGGATATTATCCAGGAGAACTTCCCCAGTCTAGCAAGGCAGGCCAACGTTCAGATTCAGGAAATACAGAGAACGCCACAAAGATACTCCTCGAGAAGAGCAACTCCAAGACACATAATTGTCAGATTCACCAAAGTTGAAATGAAGGAAAAAATGTTAAGGGCAGCCAGAGAGAAAGGTCGGGTTACCCTCAAAGGGAAGCCCATCAGACTAACAGCGGATCTCTCGGCAGAAACCCTACAAGCCAGAAGAGAGTGGGGGCCAATATTCAACATTCTTAAAGAAAAGAATTTTCAACCCAGAATTTCATATCCAGCCAAACTAAGCTTCATAAGTGAAGGAGAAATAAAATACTTTACAGACAAGAAAATGCTGAGAGATTTTGTCACCACCAGGCCTGCCCTAAAAGAGCTCCTGAAGGAAGCGCTAAACATGGAAAGGAACAACCGGTACCAGCCGCTGCAAAATCATGCCAAAATGTAAAGACCATCGAGACTAGGAAGAAACTGCATCAACTAACGAGCAAAATCACCAGCTAACATCATAATGACAGGATCAAATTCACACATAACAATATTAACTTTAAATGTAAATGGACTAAATGCTCCAATTAAAAGACACAGACTGGCAAGTTGGATAAAGAGTCAAGACCCATCAGTGTGCTGTATTCAGGAAACCCATCTCACGTGCAGAGACACACATAGGCTCAAAATAAAAGGATGGAGGAAGATCTACCAAGCAAATGGAAAACAAAAAAAGGCAGGGGTTGCAATCCTAGTCTCTGATAAAACAGACTTTAAACCAACAAAGATCAAAAGAGACAAAGAAGGCCATTACATAATGGTAAAGGGATCAATTCAACAAGAGGAGCTAACTATCCTAAATATATATGCACCCAATACAGGAGCACCCAGATTCATAAAGCAAGTCCTGAGTGACCTACAAAGAGACTTAAACTCCCACACATTAATAATGGGAGACTTTAACACCCCACTGTCAACATTAGACAGATCAACGAGACAGAAAGTCAACAAGGATACCCAGGAATTGAACTCAGCTCTGCACCAAGCGGACCTAATAGACATCTACAGAACTCTCCACCCCAAATCAACAGAATATACATTGTTTTCAGCACCACACCACACCTATTCCAAAATTGACCACATACTTGGAAGTAAAGCTCTCCTCAGCAAATGTAAAAGAACAGAAATTATAACAAACTATCTCTCAGACCACAGTGCAATCAAACTAGAACTCAGGATTAAGAATCTCACTCAAAGCCGCTCAACTACATGGAAACTGAACAACCTGCTCCTGAATGACTACTGGGTACATAACGAAATGAAGGCAGAAATAAAGATGTTCTTTGAAACCAACGAGAACAAAGACACAACATACCAGAATCTCTGGGACGCATTCAAAGCAGTGTGTAGAGGGAAATTTATAGCACTAAATGCCCACAAGAGAAAGCAGGAAAGATCCAAAATTGACACCCTAACATCACAATTAAAAGAACTAGAAAAGCAAGAGCAAACACATTCAAAAGCTAGCAGAAGGCAAGAAATAACTAAAATCAGAGCAGAACTGAAGGAAATAGAGACACAAAAAACCCTTCAAAAAATCAATGAATCCAGGAGCTGGTTTTTTGAAAGGATCAACAAAATTGATAGAACACTAGCAAGACTAATAAAGAAAAAAAGAGAGAAGAATCAAATAGACACAATAAAAAATGATAAAGGGGATATCACCACCAATCCCACAGAAATACAAACTACCATCAGAGAATACTACAAACACCTCTACGCAAATAAACTAGAAAATCTAGAAGAAATGGATACATTCCTCGACACATACACTCTCCCAAGACTAAACCAGGAAGAAGTTGAATCTCTGAATAGACCAATAACAGGAGCTGAAATTGGGGCAATAATCAATAGTTTACCAACCAAAAAGAGTCCAGGACCAGATGGATTCACAGCCGAATTCTACCAGAGGTACAAGGAGGAACTGGTACCATTCCTTCTGAAACTATTCCAATCAATAGAAAAAGAGGGAATCCTCCCTAACTCATTTTATGAGGCCAGCATCATTCTGATACCAAAGCCGGGCAGAGACACAACCAAAAAAGAGAATTTTAGACCAATATCCTTGATGAACATTGATGCAAAAATCCTCAAAAAAATACTGGCAAACCGAATCCAGCAGCACATCAAAAAGCTTATCCACCATGATCAAGTGGGCTTCATCCCTGGGATGCAAGGCTGGTTCAATATACGCAAATCAATAAATGTAATCCAGCATATAAACAGAGCCAAAGACAAAAACCACATGATTATCTCAATAGATGCAGAAAAAGCCTTTGACAAAATTCAACAACCCTTCATGCTAAAAACTCTCAATAAATTAGGTATTGATGGGACGTATTTCAAAATAATAAGAGCTATCTATGACAAACCCACAGCCAATATCATACTGAATGGGCAAAAACTGGAAGCATTCCCTTTGAAAACTGGCACAAGACAGGGATGCCCTCTCTCACCGCTCCTATTCAACATAGTGTTGGAAGTTCTGGCCAGGGCAATCAGGCAGGAGAAGGAAATAAAGGGTATTCAATTAGGAAAAGAGGAAGTCAAATTGTCCCTGTTTGCAGATGACATGATTGTTTATCTAGAAAACCCCATCGTCTCAGCCCAAAATCTCCTTAAGCTGATAAGCAACTTCAGCAAAGTCTCAGGATACAAAATCAATGTACAAAAATCACAAGCATTCTTATACACCAACAACAGACAAACAGAGAGCCAAATCATGAGTGAACTCCCATTCACAATTGCTTCAAAGAGAATAAAATACCTAGGAATCCAACTTACAAGGGATGTGAAGGACCTCTTCAAGGAGAACTACAAACCACTGCTCAAGGAAATAAAAGAGGATACAAACAAATGGAAGAACATTCCATGCTCATGGGTAGGAAGAATCAATATTGTGAAAATGGCCATACTGCCCAAGGTAATTTACAGATTCAATGCCATCCCCATCAAGCTACCAATGACTTTCTTCACAGAATTGGAAAAAACTACTTTAAAGTTCATATGGAACCAAAAAAGAGCCCGCATCGCCAAGTCAATCCTAAGCCAAAAGAACAAAGCTGGAGGCATCACACTACCTGACTTCAAACTATACTACAAGGCTACAGTAACCAAAACAGCATGGTACTGGTACCAAAACAGAGATATAGATCAATGGAACAGAACAGAGCCCTCAGAAATAACGCCGCATACCTACAACTATCTGATCTTTGACAAACCTGAGAAAAACAAGCAATGGGGAAAGGATTCCCTATTTAATAAATGGTGCTGGGAAAACTGGCTAGCCATATGGAGAAAGCTGAAACTGGATCCCTTCCTTACACCTTATACAAAAATCAATTCAAGATGGATTAAAGACTTAAACGTTAGACCTAAAACCATAAAAACCCTAGAAGAAAACCTAGGCATTACCATTCAGGACATAGGCATGGGCAAGGACTTCATGTCCAAAACACCAAAAGCAATGGCAACAAAAGCCAAAATTGACAAATGGGATCTAATTAAACTAAAGAGCTTCTGCACAGCAAAAGAAACTACCATCAGAGTGAACAGGCAACCTACAACATGGGAGAAAATTTTCGCAACCTACTCATCTGACAAAGGGCTAATATCCAGAATCTACAATGAACTCAAACAAATTTACAAGAAAAAAACAAACAACCCCATCAAAAAGTGGGCGAAGGACATGAACAGACACTTCTCAAAAGAAGACATTTATGCAGCCAAAAAACACATGAAAAAATGCTCATCATCACTGGCCATCAGAGAAATGCAAATCAAAACCACTATGAGATATCATCTCACACCAGTTAGAATGGCAATCATTAAAAAGTCAGAAAACAACAGGTGCTGGAGAGGATGTGGAGAAATAGGAACACTTTTACACTGTTGCTGGGACTGTAAACTAGTTCAACCATTGTGGATGTCAGTGTGGCGATTCCTCAGGGATCTAGAACTAGAAATACCATTTGACCCAGCCATCCCATTACTGGGTATATACCCAAAGGACTATAAATCATGCTGCTATAAAGACACATGCACACGTATGTTTATTGTGGCATTATTCACAATAGCAAAGACTTGGAACCAACCCAAATGTCCAACAATGATAGACTGGATTAAGAAAATGTGGCACATATACACCATGGAATACTATGCAGCCATAAAAAATGATGAGTTCATGTCCTTTGTAGGGACATGGATGAAATTGGAAATCATCATTCTCAGTAAACTATCGCAAGAACAAAAAACCAAACACCGCATATTCTCACTCATAGGTGGGAATTGAACAATGAGATCACATGGACACATGAAGGGGAATATCACACTCTGGGGACTGTGGTGGGGTGGGGGGAGCAGGGAGGGATAGCATTGGGAGATATACCTAAGGCTAGATGACGAGTTAGTGGGTGCAGCACACCAGCATGGCACATGTATACATATGTAACTAACCTGCACAATGTGCACATGTACCCTAAAACTTAAAGTATAATAAAAAAAAAAAAAGAAAAAGAAAGAAGTATCAATATTTTTAAAAATAAAAAGGAAATATGAGTCATAATGTAGTCATTTTTGAGGGAAGGCACTGGTATCCAGATATCATAAAACTATGAAATATAGAAAGCATTCGTCTTCAACATTCTCAAGTTTCTTACCACCAACTTTATTTTGTATAATAGTTGGAAAATAATCGGATAGTTTAAGTTGAAGTTAGAAGAACCCAACTTTTCTATTCATGTTTTGGTACCTGTCTTGCCTAAGGGGAAACAGTATGAATCTTCCATTATTTAAAAAACGAATCTTTTTTGTGACGATGGCGACTGCCATATATTAATTGCCTCCTGGCCATGCTTAGGTAAAATTTACCTAGAAGTCCAACCAGGGGATGGAATTCTGGGAATTTACCAAGCCTGCTCCATAGAGGTGGTATGAATGAATCTTTCTCTTCAATTTGAGAGGTAGCACCTTCACTTCTTCTGGATACCACAGCCGTAGAGTCACTGTAGACCTTTTTATTAAGGTGCTCAAAGTACTTGATTAAATCAGCACACTTATTCTAAAAAAATACCAACTCTAAACAACAAAACGAAAACAATTTCAAATAATAATATCCTGCACACCAGACACTTTGAAGAATATAGTAGACTTTTTTTTTTTTTTTGCTTTCAACAAAGGCATGCTAAGTTTAAGAAAACAGGACATATATATTTTTCAACTTTGGCTCTAGTCATAATTGGAAACAAAGTACACTTTTACTTATATATTTGTTAGAAGAATGAACAAAAAGATAATTACCATAGAAGAACTGCATAGCAATATGGAAAATAAGCAATGAAGAAATTCAGAGACTGGAGACAACAAATTGGTTTGGGATAATTAAGAAAGGCTAAACAGCAATGAAGCTTGAACTGAATCTATAAATATGGTAAAACTGAGATTAGTAGAGAGGAATAAGCAGGGTTTTCTAGGAAGATGAAAAGACATAGATAAAAGTGTGGTAGTGGGGAGCCCCAAAATTTCAATGTAAAACCATCAGATTTGTTTCTTGGTAATGTAATAGATCAATGTAGATATTCCTGATTGGTATATTTTCTCCACTTCATGATTCAGGTATCTAGGGTCGTTCCATGTTGGAGTCCCGCTGTCTCCCAAGGCCTCAGAGTCTTCTCATCTAGCCAGGATACACCCACTTGTCAAGCTCCTTGGCCTGGAACAGATATCCATCACTTCCATTCACACTCCATTGGTGAGAACTGGACACATGGTCTCACCTGGATTTAAGCAGAAACTGGAAAATGTAGCCCCGAGCTAGGCTGTCACTTGGTGACAATTCCAGGCTATGAAAGAGGAGCATGCATTTTGATGAACTGCTCTCTATCTCTGCCTCACCAAGCCTGCCAGCCTGCCAAGAAAGTACAGAAGATGAAATGTCCATCTTTTTCAAAGTCACCCAATCGAGCAGAGGGGTGGTTCTTAAAGATTTTACTGAGTTATTGGAAGCTGGGGAAATTTCTAAGTTATAGAATTAAACAATCAGAGCAGCATTTTAAAAAGAGAATATGCACAGCAATATTTAGCAGGATTGCAGGTAGAATAAATGTTTCCAGACAAGACAAGAGGGCTGGCGGAGGGTATAGAAAACACTGGTAAAAATTTAAGATACATTTCTAAGAATGAAACAAATCTGGTGCATAATTAGAATGGGCTTGGGGAATGGAAAGAAGGCAGACAAAGGAGAGAGGTAAGTTAAGGAAGATTTTGAACATTCAAACTTACATGATAGTACCCCTGAGGACAATTAGGAAGTAATTTTAGAGTGAAGAAGATGAGTTTGAGAACACGTTCAGATGTCCCATAGAAGCATCTACATGGAGCTATATAGCCAGTAGTCACACAAGGCAAGACGAAGATAAGAAAGGATCATGAAAAGATGCCGCATTTCCTGATTTTCACCACTGTGAAATTTTTTCCGGACTACTATAGTATCTACAAGAGGCAAATGAACTATTCCATGACATGGCAAATCCATTCTTTTTTGCCCATCTACACAATCGATACCAATCGCCACAGCCAAATTGATCTGGCTGCAATTCACATCAATTCTTAGAAGGCTGAAAGGAATGGATTGGCTGTGCCATAGGCCAGCCATTTCACATCCTCAGACATGCCCTCTTCTGCCTCAAGAGTTGTTAGGCCAGTGGAAGAAGGGACCAAGGTTGCCACTCTATTCATTCATTCAGGCTCTAATATCACATTTAACTTCTAACCTAGAAGTTAACTTAACCACAGCTGCTTAAGTAATTTTGATGTGAAAATTAAGTATCAATTTGTTTCAATGTTGTAAAACTAATAATTTTTTAGCATCTTCTGTGTGTCCCGTCTTGGACAAAGTAAAGTTTATTAAATGGAAGATACTCTAATGGGAAACAAAGAGAAGCATGCCAACATACAATTGCTATGCAACTCCATTCAAGCCCCTACAGTCCTATCGGAGAGAAGAAAGTTATGTATTAAATATGTCCTTTATATTAGGTCTTGCTCTACTGTGGTTCTGTCATTTGCATCTCAGATTAGCCTTGACATAAGCATTATATCTTTATTTTAAAAGAACTTAATAGGCCAGGCGTGGTGGATCACACCTGTAATCCCAGCACTTTGGGAGGCCATGGCAGGCTGATCACGAGGTCAGGAGATCGAGACCATCCTGGCTAACATGATGAAATCCCATCTCTACTAAAAATACAGAAAATTAGTCAGGCATGGTGGCAGGCACCTGTAGTCCCAGCTACTTGGGAGGCTAAGGCAGGAGAATGGTGTGAACCCAGGAGGCAGAGCTTGCAGCGAGCCAAGATCATGCCACTGCACTCAGCCTGGGTGACAGAGCAAGACTCTTGTCTCAAAAAAAAAAAAAAAAAAAGAACTTACTAGTGTACCTAGTGATAGACCTAGTAAGTGATAGAGATGGCACTTAAAGTTTTGAAAATGTGACCCAAAGCCAGGGTGTTTTGGCACTACAAAGCCTTTCCTAAGGCTCTAACTAGGCCCATTAAAAGAGCCATGTAAAGAGCCAATTCCTGCTGCCATATAACCAAAACTCTCAAACCAGCATTCTGCACCCCTTTATTTCTGACACAGAGAATCAATTCAAGAGTTAAAAACAAAAAATATATTTCCTGGACATGTAATCATATGAAGGTGGAATTGAATAATTATTTTGAAACCAAAGTAGAGTGAAGGGCAAGAGTGTAAACTCCAGTTTACTCCTGGTTCATCAGTTTTGTCTGTGAAGCAGTCTTGAATTTGCCAAATGTGGTAAGATGTGTTCTTGACAAGGCAGAAAAATATATAGCCATCTACTCAAGAAAGCAAATCTCCTGTGAGGTCCAGGTCAGTCTTTGACCCACAGGACATTTTTCTATGCTCCTGCATAGACAGGCTGAACCAAGAGAGCACAGAGGATGTCAGCAGGTGAAGTCCTTAATGTCTGAACAAGACACGGTAGTATCCCCAAGATCGCCTCTAGTAGGTGTGCTATGTGGCATCACAGTGCAATTCCCTGGGGGAAGTGCCAAGGTCAGGCTGGTTGGCCAGTTTGAAATCTGATTGCCCATCCAAATAAGGTTAGGCAAAAGAGTTCAAGGATCAAAGTCAATGTGGACAGAGATTAAGGAAAAACTGAAGAGAGAGGAAATGTGAAGCACAAGCAATGGGAAACAAAGGCTGTTTTGTTGTTTTTTTAATCTAGTGTCATAGCAGAGCCAGGGAGGATTTTAAAAACTGGCCATGGAGCAAAAACATTATTTAACCTTGCAAGCTGAAATATCCACAGGCTGTGAAAGATCAAGGAAAATAAAAAGAATATTGTTATTGCGAGAACATCACAAAGAGAGGCACCATCCTGGAGTCACCCCTGAAACAAATAACAGAATGAGCTCAATCAGTTTCTCTATAAGCCTTTGCTATTTCCTCCCCCCACACCCCCAGCACACACTCCAGGTCAAGTAGCAGATCATTTCTTTTATAAAATTCACTAGAATATGTGCCCTTTCTTTGTATTACATTTCCTCAAAACCACAAAATAAACTGTACTATGGAGTGTTTTAATTTCCTATCATCTTTGGAAAATCATGCTAATAAGATATTTAGTGAAGAGAGTAGTTGCCCAATAAGTGGCAATAATCTTTTATGAGTGCCACTGTGAACACGATGAACAAATATGTTGACCTTGAAAGTTCTAGTCTTACCACGAGTGCAAGAACAATGACACAAATATTCATTTAGATGAATGCTTACCATGCTTGGCCTTATCATTTTGAGCTACCCACATTTCAATTTCCCTAGTTATGCTCAGAAACTATAGTTTGTGATGGAAAGCAAGAGAAGGATACTGTTGCCATGGTAGCAAAAACATTTTTTTCTTCCTCAAAAATAGTATGTTAGAGACCAGTGGGGGTAAAAAATGATGCTAACTGTACTTGCAGAGAAAATTAAATTTAAATACAACTTCTTGTAATTTTATCAAGTGCTGTTTAGATATATTTTCCAGTTAAATGTGCAAGGATGCCTTACAATGGGCTTACCAGTTAAAGGACAAGTTACTTTTCTCTGCTTTGAGCAGGTTGTTCAACATGCAGAATATAACTTTTAAAATGCATGAATGAAAGGGTGCAGATTTACAATTGTATAAAAGGATATTCAAAATAAGTTTTTAAAAGCTGCCTTAGCTTAATATAGCTAATAAAAAAATGACAAACAAGCAACTAGAACAATAACAACAATAAAGAAAATGACTGTTATCCTTCTGAATTCCTTTGCCTGTCATTCAAATGGGATATTACCCTTTTCGGGACTGGCTGAATAACTCAAACTAATGTACCAACCTGTGCTGCTTACATTCCCTAGTGCATTCCATTTTGGTGTTATTACTTTTGCAGCCACTACATTGGCTTCTTGCAAAATAGAATCTCTAAAATTTTCCTGCATTCAATGAGCTGTTGAGGTTTTCTAATAAGAAAACACAACACTAATGCTGCTGTCTTAATTCTGTGCATTACTTTCCCGCCAAATTCAGAAGCATGCCGATGTCACTACAAGCAATCCATTAGAATTACAGTCACCTCTGCAGCTGTTGCTGTTATAGTTCCTACTCCTACATTGCCCATCCTCAGCATATTTTCTCTTTTATGTACTAAGATGAATGTCAGTGTTAGGTCTTCAGAGGAGCAGGTGATCTTTTTACTGCATATTCGAAAACATGTTCTTACCTCTTGTTTCTATTCCATGACAAAAATTCTAATTCAGAAATGTTCATTTTTCACACAAATGCCCTTGAGAAAATCAGCCCAAGACATGTCTTAATGTAATGATCACTTGCAAATTATCACATGTAAATGTACTTAAGATATTCCTAATTGCATTGTTTATTCTTCCTACTGTGTTCATTTTACCAATGTATTTATTGAGATTTATTTAGAAACAAATCTATTCCCAGTCTTTATTATCGTGAAGCCAGCATATTATGTGAGACATATCTCCCAAACATTTTCTACTGAACAAAGAATGAACAAACTGTTTACTGTAATACAGTGACCAATTATATTACTATTTCCTGGGAGAAATGAAAAGCACGGTCATTACAGCTCAGTTTGGCTATGGGGAAGACTTTCTGTCTGGTCAATGTTTTTCTTCAGAGCCAACACAGTGCATCACTGTCTTTTCTTTTGTGATTACAATCAAGTGCATTTACAAATACAGAGAAACCAAAATGATCTTTGGAAAATAGACATATGAGATTTATCCCAAACCAGGATCCTATAGGGCCCAAGAAAAAACAAAGCATATTTTGGTTCTCTGAGGAAGAGTCACAGTTAAAAGGAGGTCTGTTTACCTGAAGTAACTGCAACTAGAGGCAGTGAGGTAAAATCTAGGAAGGCAGTTTCCTGCAGCAGGGAGATTTCCCAAGAAGATACTATCAGGGCTTCCTAGGAATTATATAGACTGTGTCTCAAAAGATCACTCTGTCTTTCTAAAGTCATTTTCTGCTTCCCCCATTGTTATGATGTATTTATTCATTGTTGGTAATTGCACTTTGGAATGTGATTTAAAAACCATGTTTCTGCCAGGGCCTAAAAGCAGTATAGGCTCCAAGGGCATTCAAGCTTTGGCCTCATCTGTGGATGCCGTCATTGGACCTGCCAAAAATGATGCAAATAGTTAGAAACAATGGGCTATGGTACCCTTCTGCTATTAGACTATACTCAGTACTCCACAGATTATTTTTAATTTCTCCTAGAGGCTAAGGGAATACATTAGATAAATTGGGTACCAGTTGCTAAGATATCTTAAATAGGAAGAATTGTTTCTGCTGGAATTTTAGGGGATGAAGATAAATTATCTAGAATGAAAAGTGCTCGGAAAATTAGTCATATAGAAAATAAGTATACAATGTTTTCTGAAACCAAAAGGTATGTATTATCACAAAGACCAACTTACCAGATTTCACCATAACCAAACTATACCTGCTTCTACATTAAACTACGAAGAGACAAGTCAATTTCTTTTTGAAAATAACCATTTTCCCAATTGCCCATAGTGATTAGAGAGTCATGTCATGAACACAACAGATGAGACTGAAGCAGAGCTCAGGGTTAAGAAGATTCAAATATCCAGCCAGGTGCCTCTTTCCACAGTACTTTCACTGAGTTCATCTCATTTTTAGCTTTCAGTGAACCTATGAGGATGATATGATACAAGCTCATCAGTCAACAGCCATACAGAGAAGAGCCAGTAATTCAACAGGTGAAAATGTGGCCATTTATAAACCAGCTTACAGAGTTATTACTGACTCTAACTTCCCAAAGCTGGATGCATGCAACACCTGGGGAAACAATGGCCAATGAGGTAGCATTCAATTTCTCTTGTCAAGGTAGCCAAGGGTTTACCACCAGGACCAAATTTATCTTTACAACAAATCTCCAGACACATCCCTCAGATCTTGACCATCCTTAAATTTTCCCATACTGGACTTTTATCCATTTCCTATTCTATCACACACTCTCACATCGCCTTTCTTTCACTCATGCAGATTCTTGTATCAAGAATATGCTCTTCCCCAGCTTCATCTGATGAGCTCTTGTTCATTAAGGATTAGGTCAGATGTGACCTCCTGTGTGTAGCCTTCCTGGTTCATGTTATATACTTTTCTGTCACCACATTTAGCAGCTTGTATTATACAGTAGCCTATTGTTATTTTTTTCCATGGACTCTCAACTCTGTGGGTTCAAGGGCCACATCTTATTCACCTGTGTGTCCCTCATTGCACCAAGCAGTATACCTGAACCATTAGAACAAAGATGAAAAGGCCTTTCTAACAAATCAAATAGTTCTAAACAAAAAGTGGCTCTAGACAGTTGTCCTATAAGCTCTCTAGATTATATAACAGAAATAGGAACATAATTGCTTTTTGTGTTATTAATACCATTTCTAGAAAATATACTGTTAAAGCAGTAGAGATCTTTTTTCCCTAACTCTGAACTCAAAAAGCAATTTATTGTTGAAAAGAATAGCAATTGCTCAATAGAAGTTTATAAGCATGCAGAAATATTCTCCATTTGGCTATTTTAATACTCACCCTTGAGTTTAAAAAAATTCAAGGCTATATTTCAAATCATAGTCTCTTTAAAGCATTTATTCATACAGTGAGAGTAATATAGTACAGGTCTAGGATTTTCTAGTGGTCTAAATTTTAAAATGAAGTATTTATTCTGGCTTGGTTTCCTTCACAGTGACTGGCCCTTACATGAGCCAGGCCAAATACAAATGCTCTAAAAAAGACCCTATAGCTTTACTCCAGAACTTCAAGGAATCTGTCCAGCCTTTGCCTTCAACCCTCCATTTCAAACTTGTTTGTTCCATCTGGGTCTACCTGGTATTCATTCTCTTGCCTTATAACTAGTCTTCACCTCTCTGTCATTTGGCCTGTTTGCTTAGTCTCAATTCCAGTTTCACCTGGAACCCTCAACCGACCTCCAGGTCTTTTGAATCTTCCTTGGCTCCCTGCTCTAAATCTATCATAGTTGCACCATACCTTAACTTTCAGGCCCAGCTTCCAAAATATTCATGTTGAGTATGAATATTCAATATTCATTCTTCCCACACCTCCAAGGACAAAATTCAGAAGAAATCTAGAAGATGAATGATAAGCATGTTCATTTTACTTGCTTTCCTGAATTTCAATTCAATCTAGCTTAGAGCATAGGACAGTAGACTTTTCAAGAATGAAGTTGCTAATTAGTGCCCAAAATTTGGATTTCATGGTCAATTAAAGCAATTCTATTTGTTTTTAATAAGAAACACTCAGAAATAGTTTTGTTTATGTTATAATAATCAAAGTAATGGATTTGTGTTGCTGTCCTGATTGAGATTATATTGTTGCTCAAATCATATCAAACCAGACTAGAGATAAAACTGCAGAAAAAAGCTAAAAAAATTATTCAAGATTTTTCAAATCCAAAATGAACCACCAAGCACTAGGTAAAAGTCCTGGGACAAGAGCCAGAAGCAAGGAAGAGATTGTTTTGATCCAGAATCTCTAACCATTTGATATGGTTTGGCTGTGTCCCACCCAAATCTCAAATTGTAGCTCCCATAATTTGGATATGGGAGGTAATTGAATCATAAGGGAGGGTCTTTCCTGTGCTGTTCTCATGATAGTGAATAAGTCTCATGAGATCTGATGGTTTTATAAAGGGGGGTTCCCCTGCACATGCTCTTTGTCTTGCCTGCCACAATGTAACACATGACTTTGCTCCTCCTTTGCCTTCTGCCCTGATTGTGAGTCCTCCCCAGCCACATGGAACCATAAGTCCCTTGAGCCTCTTTTTCTTTATAAATTTTCTAGTCTCTGGTATGTCTTTATCAGCAGTGTGAGAACAGACTAATACACCATTTCTCTAGAATGCTTGACTTTTTTTTAATTGGGTGCCCCTAATAGGCATACTGATTTACAAAATGCAAAATATATTCCCAGTTAGCTAAAAGCATCAACCTGGTGAGGGTTATATTGACTGTTGTGGACACAATTGCCAAAACATCTCTCAAAATGTCTCAAGTTTTGGCATGGCTGGTTGTGGGGTGAGCTTTGATCCCAATCTACCAACAGCCAGACACTTCCTGATGCTACTCCTAGCAGACAGCCAAAAGAGACTTGCCTTTCCATTTTCTATGGTAAAATTATATGCATTTTACTATATCATTGATACCTATTCTAACCAAGGTCTTAATCAATTTTTTAATTCCTGGTCTGTGACTAGATAAATACAGAAACTGAGAGTAATCATTTAGAAACTCACACGGCAATCTGACACTGCTACAACATCCAGCATTTCATTTTTCTACTAATTCATTTTTATCATATTTTTAATGACCGTCTGCCTAGATTATAAATTTTAAAAAGAAAGAAACTGTCTCTTAAGCATAGATAATTTGAAAAGCTCTAATCTAAGCCATTTGGCCATCTTAACCGGATGTCCTTCGAGACTGTCAAGGGAAACAGTGGACACTCTCATGGGGAAGCTGAGTTATATACTTCAAAGCACAATTCAGTAAAATCCAGATTCCAAAGGGATGAAATAAATAGTCTCTGGTACAAGCTCTTTGATGACTTGGCTTAATCCACATATAAAATTTGGATATGCAGGTGTTGGCAGACTAAGTCTTGTCACCTGTTTTTGGAAATACACTTTTTTGGAACACTGCCACACTCATTTGTTTACATATTGTCCAAGGCTGCTTTCAAGAGTTGAGTAGTGATGACAGAGACCATTTGGCCCACAAAGCCTAAAATATTTACCATATGACCCATTACAGAAAAAGTTTGCCAGTCTCTGATCTAGTAGATATATAGACTGCTATCATTAGTTCTCTAAAACCGAGTTTGGAAAGCACAGAGTTCAAAGTCATATTTTCAGAAAGTATATGCAAAACAGATGCATTGTCAGTGTAGGGCAGATCCGTATAATTTGATGACACGTATGTGGAAAGGCAGTGTTGATAACCTCTGTTTCAGCCTAGCCATTGAAAGTTTATTTTTTCACTCTATGTATAACCCCTGAATAAACTTGTAGATTTAAAAGCCTTATATAGGTAGTTAGCTCTACCAATTAAATGTCTAGTCCATATTTTTATCTTATATATAGAATTAAACCCAAGTGACTAATGAACCTGAAGATGTAGAATGAAAGACCGCAGAGAAATGGAATCCAACAGTCAGAGTAGAATGTAAACAGTTCTGACAAGAAGAACTTGAGGTGATTAATTAAATGTGTCACTAGAGTCTTGATTTACCTAACACAGGGTGAACTTCACACAGTCAAGATAAATACAAACAAAGCCTTAAATTGTTGATATTTTTATAACAATCCACATTAGTTAAGGGAAAACATAAACCCAAACATCTCAGCAGTTCAACATAAGAAAAGTTTATTTCTCACCCATGAAAGAGTCTGATATAAATGTTCTTAGTCAGCGAGCAGCTTTTCACTCTGTGGTGATTTAGGGACCAGGCTCCTTCCATGATCACAGAAGTACATGCATGAATGGTTCCAGGAATGAAAATTGCCCGCATCACTTCCACACATGGCCATACCTGACAGCAAGGGAGTCTGGGAAATGCAGTCCAACTGTGAACCCAGACTGTAAACAGTTAGCCAAGCTCTTCCATACCCACTTAAATGTGGAACCTAATTTAACTTTACTGTGTTTGTCTGAAAGATGCCAGCAATTTTCCAGGGAATTAAATCAAGAAACATCTCCAGAAGGTATGCTAATATTACTAGAATATGCAGGGATGAAATTTTACTCTATGGACTCTAAACATTTCATCCAAAACAGTGGTTGTGTGTATGCTAACCCTATCTCCCAGTTGGGCAACTCAGAATATGTCTTAGCTGCCCTCTTTCATATTTTACACCTGGCATTATATTTACCTGCAGAATTTAACTCTTTTAACAAATTCTAGCAAGGCTGGTAGATCTGCCATTAGTGAATCAAAGTGAAAAACTGTGATCCCCAACAAATAAGCCCCAGGGTCACTGCAACTATTGTGTTGTCCAAGACTTACAGACCCTGCCAGCTTAATAGAGATGCTCTTTGCTCTGGCTCTTGTCCTCTTTGTAATTAATCAATGTTTAATGCCTCAGCAAGGTCCTAAGCAGATTACCACAGCCTTATCTTTTAGTGTCAGGATAGCCGTTTACTTCAGCTGAACAAAATGCTTAGATTCCTCTGATGGACCAGGGCCAGGCTTGCTGTAGGCCCAATGATGCATTAGGAAACAGGACATGAAAGTGTATCACTGTGGCACAGCTAGGTTTGTCTTATATGGTGATGGGTAGACCCTAGCATGCTAAGATGAGACATCCATAGGCCTAATAGCACAGAAGCAGTAAGTACACAGCCCTGGCCTTCTTTGACCTGGAAAATTTCTCTTTCCATGAGGACTTCATTGACCACTGAATTGTGGACTCACCTCCAGAAGGAAACAAGGAGGCACCTGGGAGCTGAGTCTACTCATTCACCTGTATTATTATCTCATACATCCTTTGCTTGTTTGTTATTTCAATAAAAAAAAACTGAGATGGAGACAATTTAAGCTGAGTCCTCTTTATCATTCTTCCAAACCTGCTAGCCCAGCACAAACGTGAAGAGTCTGGTCTAGCTCAGGTCCTTTATATACTTAACTCTAGCTTCTCCCACAAGCTCCCAGCCCCTGTCATCACCAGTCTGCTAGGTTTTTCCACTAGGATGTCCTACAACACATCATGCCTGACTTGCCAGCTTCTGTGCCATGTTATTCTCTATCAGAACTTAATTAATGGTGCTATCATTTTTCCAGCCACCCAGTCTTAGAACAAAAGTCATATTATCCTCCTCTTTGTCCTTGGTCCTTTTGCATTCCAGCAACCACCAAGCTAAACTGATCCTTCTGAATCCTTCAGAGAGCTAAGTTACAAGAAGCTGAATTAACTCTGGTTAGTTTCAATAGAATCATAATTTGCTCAGTGATGCTGAGTAACTCACAGAATGTTTGGGAAAGCAAAAGAATGAGACCAGAGAACCAAGAACAGTTCTTAAATTGTGCACGCTGCACACATCCTAGCAGGATGCAACTGCCACCACCTCAAGGCATAGTTCCAGCAGCTCACACAAACACCCTCTGGGCCCAGAGTGCTGCCGCCAGAACTCTAGAACTATCATTTCTATGTGATACCTCTGGGAAGTGGGTACAGATCCCTCCACTACTGCTACTACTGCTACTGTCACCCTTACCAGAATGGATCCTATACCATCCTTATCTCTTCATGTCACTAATGTTCAGTTTAATGTCTTGGGTGGATGGATCTGATCAGTGGAGCTCAGTCTTCATGACTGAGCCACAGGAGCATTGAAAACATAAGAAACAGGTTCAGCTGCTATGTGTCTGAGGCAGGTACTAGGTATTCAGCACTCAGTCTAACCCCCTTCTGTCTTCTAAACCTTACTTGCTTAGAAACCCTTACAGCAACACCATTCTGGCCAGGAAAATGGAAGCAGTACGATCTCTTCCACTTTCTCCTCCTTTTTGTCCATTATGAGGCTGGCTCTTGGTAGGGCATTGGTCACATGTATGTTGGTGTTATGTTCACATAATACCAAATCTGGAAACTGAAAGTGGAAAATATGAACTTAGCTCACTGACAACTAGGAAGCTGCTGACCTTTAATATGTACTGGGGTGACCTACTATTAGGGTGGTGCAAAAGTAATTGCAGTTTTTGCTATTCCTTTTAATAGTGAAAACCCGCAATTACTTTTGCACCAACCTAATAGATGCTAAATGCAGAGCAGGCATCACTGAGGGTGGTAGTGTTAGAAGGTATGGAGGAAAATTCTTCATAAAGTTGGCATCTGCTGTCTCCTTGCTATTTTCAGCCATGTCCTAAAAGAAAAGGATGAACCAGAGTGGAACTACCAGTCTGCAAACAGAGATGGAAGGAAATACAACTTTGTTAAAGGAGATGCTTTTTGTCTGAAGCCCACAATCCTAGCTTCATTAAGAAACTCACAACACGGGGTCCTGCATATTGAAAGAGATAAGTCTCTTGAACCCTGACATATAATTGTTATAAGCAATGGCTGGGAAGGGGCAGGCCCCCGCAGTCGATAGCTCTGGGGCCCCATGGTTTTCTCAAGCATGACAAAGGACAGCATAACCTGGTTCCTTGACTGCATTTTTGAGGAACCACCCTGCTCTCCAGACTTCCAGACTTCTTACTGCATGAGATAAATAAGCCCCTATTTGGTCTAGGTTGCTCTTATATACAGTTGATAGTCCTACTGATGCAGGGCCAACAAGAATGACAAATGTCCATAAACCATCTTATGAAATATCCCTCACATACATTCCTACCATTCTATCCCAGCTGCTTTGCCCTGGGCCAGATCCTTCTGGATCTCAGCTTACAACCAATCTGTTAGTTCCCTGCCTGTTCCTTCATTCTGTAATGTGTTTGTCGCCATAATGGATCCTCAGCCCCTTAAAACAATGCCTAACACATAATAGGTAATCTTTACATGTTTGTTGCAGATGGAAGATGAACAAGTGGATATAGTGCTAGCCAAAGAATCAGAAAATTATGCACCAACCCCACCTGGGAAGTTCAGCTGCATAAACTGCATGAAATGACTCTGGTAATACTTCTGGATTTTTGTGTTTTTTAATCTGGATCTGGAAGAGTCATCTATCTGTTGCCTATCTGACAAAAGGTATGTGTAAAAGTCCTTTCAAAACTACAAAGCATTACAAGAGTATTATTTTGGTCATCCATGTAAGAAATTGCATAGAGCCCCAAATTAAGTTGAAAATAAAACAACAGCAATTTAGAAAACATTACCACCTATATAATCTACTATCAGGTAGAATATTCAGAAAGAGTATTGAAAGATATTATAAATGTAATCACCATTTAATTTTCAATGTTAAGACATGATCAAAAGATAATAGTTCAGGAGGCGGAAATGATATCTGCTACTTATATTGTCATAACATAATATTTACTCTATAATTGCATGATCAATATTTACTCGGTGATTATATAGCTTTTCACATGGTTGCTTGGACCCAATAAAATAAAGGAAAAGCAGTTATCTTTATTGTCCCAGGGGCAGATTTGACGAAGATAAACTTTCTGGATGATCTTCCTTATTGGCTTATTTTACCCTGAAAATCACTATTATTTTCAACCCACAAGCAGCTTTTGTGGCATAAGCTTTCATTTGTGAATCTCACAGATTTCAAAGTCAATCCCTCAAAGTCAATGCCCAGGAGAAAGGGGTTACCCCTTTCTCTGAAATTCCTTCTATCTGTCTGCACTCCCAATATACAGAACAGTATTTTTCTAGATAAATAATAATGCTTGCATTTTTAAACTCGTCACATAATGTGATTGAAGATAAAAAACAAAGTATTTGAGGCTGCCTCCAAATCCCAAATCCCAAAATTCTGAAAGGACTTACACATTTGTGGTTCTCTAAAACTATGTGTCTCACAGATTATGGGAAGAGATGCCTTAAAATGTGTTTTTATTTTTTAGCTTTGCATTGTGAAAACATCCCTTGTAAATTCACTGGAGGTTTATTAAGGGATGTTGGGACCATTATTTACTTTTAGAAGATGAAAGGGTCTGCAAAGTGAAAAAAATCAAGTGGCTTCTGAGAGGCACCTTAGAATACAAAATATTTCCAATCTGAAATGTGCCATCGTTATCAACTGATGTCATATTTATTGTTTGGTATGTATAGTGAAATTTACTACTCTTGAATTTTGGAAGCCATCTGCTCAACTTAAGGCACTTTAGGAATTCTAGAACTAAAGTAACTAAATTTGGATTAACAAAACTGAAAGAAATCTTTTCAAAGGAGGGGAGTTCAGACAAGAAGGAAAAAGAATACTGTAAAGCTTCTATGCACATGAAAACCCAGTTCTGTACTCAGTAGACTTGAATTAAAGGAAAAAAAAGATTTAATTGCTTGAGTCTAATTTGGAATATTATTGCATCTTGCTACATTCAATAAATCTACATATTTTATGATCACGCTAATTGTTTCTGTTTATGAGATGGGCAGAGTAAAACAGTTCAATATTCGATGAAAAATACAGCCTAATGGCATATATGACATCATGTTTATTGTTGAAATAAGAGCAAATAATATATATACCGCTAATGGCCAATGATTAAATTTCCTTCATATAAAAAAAAGCTAACTGGTATTGATCACAGAACTATTTGTATGCTTCAATGACACTTACCAAAGATATGTGCTTAAAAAGGCTAAAAGTTGGTCCTAAACCAATCTCTTATCACAATAATCACAGCAGAATTAAAGATCTGCAACACCAATGCACCATCTGTATTCCTATAGTCATTTATTTATTACTCATACTCCGTTTATTTCCAAAAAGGAAACAAAGCAGAGTAAGAGAAGCTGCGCATACACAAGCGCATGTGTGTGTATGTGTGTGATGTACACATATTGGGGCAGAGGGAAAAAGGAGATTGTAAGAGGCTATGGAGTTCTGCCTATGAATTGAGTGTAGCGAAATAATTATATTTCTTTCAGAAAGGCAAAAACGGAAGCATAATGATTTATAAAACTTTTACTTTATTAAAAGATTTTAAAACATAAAAGTGTGTTACCAGAGGAATTAATAGATAACATGTACAATCACCAATCACCTAGCACAAACTCTAGCAAATACTAGACTCAATATATACTAGTTCATTCATCCACTCATTCAGCAAATACTTATGTGGCAACTACCATGAGCCAGGTATACTCCTGCTAAATGGGAATTCAATATCCAAATAAATTTGTCACCTGTATTTTTAGGGAAGAAAAAAGAAAATGTTAATGATTAAGCCTCAAATGTAAGTTTACAAAAGACTCAGAGGCTTCCTTATGCCCATCTTTTATAAAAGTCAGAGACATCGTGTGAAATCCTGATTCTGTGAAGGCATTTCTACCTACAGCTGAAGTATTGCAGTCCAGACATGAAGGTTTCTAGATCTCCTACTAGACCCAGTGTGACAGCTGAGAGAGTCTATTCTGCAGAAATAGATGCTAGGCATGAAGCCACTGAAGAGAGCTCCCAGCATTGATCTTCTGGCCCTTTTCTTGAAGTTCAGTTGCTTTGGATTGCTGACTGAAATATCAGTTTGCTTTAGATACCAGCAACAGACATGGAGGTGTGATTTAAAAGCCTCCTTACCAGAAATATCTTTCTAGTTATGAGCCACCTGAAACATGAAACTCTACTATAGGAGATTTATTAGAGTGGAATAGAAATCATGTTTTTCAAGCATTCTTTCTGGAATTTCAATTATGGTACTTCTTATACATAGTCTGTTTGCCTTTCTTTAATAGACAAAAGCATGTTTTGCTTCCTATACCATAACCCCAGTACCTAGCACAATGCCAAGCATATAGAAGGGAGTCAATGAATATTTATAGTGTGAATGAGTAAGTATGCAATTACCAAAGGTGAAACTCCTTAACAAATGGCAGAGATCCACCCACAGAGTGCCAGGGACAATATGAACATTATTTTGTCAGATACACCCTTGTCCTAATGGAGTCCTATCAATGTACCTTCCAGCAGCACCAAACTGCCTTCAGAAAGGGCATTAGACCTGTTTGGGCACTCGAACAAATTTGTCATTAAAGCCCTAGAGCCGGACAATACAAAGCATGAAAAATATTACCTTTTCCTGGAGAAGTTGAAAGCAGGTATTATCAATCATTTATTTCTACTATAAAACAATCATCATACAACTCACCCTGAACTTTCATGGGCCCCCTGGAAGACTGGCCACCAAATGCATTCCTGACCATTAAATCAATTTACCTGTGAAATGAAATAGTTTGTTTAGATTCCTTTGTCTTAGACAAGACTAAGAAAGAAAGGGCCAAAGAGTCTAAAACATATTATCCATCTCCTGGCTTAGTGAAAATTAGGGCATCTAATTAAAAGTGAATTTTTATTCTGTATCCTAATGCCAACTTACAATAACTCATCATTTAACTACATTTAACAAATTTAAAAAAAAATTTAGTGCCTACTAGGTGCTACAAAGATTTTTTAAAAACTAAGAGCCTCCATTTTAAAGGACCTAATAATATGAAGGAGTTATTTCCCACTGTTGTGACAATGCAAGAAAACAGATGTTTGGGAATTTCTGGTCTCATCGAAAAAATAAGGCAAATCCACAAGAAACAGTCAAATGAGGTAGAAATACACTGTCAAAAGAGAGGTATCAACTAACTATTTTATGAATCATCTTTTTTAGGATTTTTGTGACATTTTTAAAAGACACTTAAGCAGAGAGATAGAATTATTATTTTTATTAAAAATAAAATATGAGGCCAGGCACAGTGGCTCACGCCTGTAATCCCAGCACTTTGGGAGGCTGAGGCAGGCGGATCATGAGGTCAGGAGATCGAGACCATCCTGGCTAATATGGTGAAACCCCGTCTCTACTAAAAATAAAAAAAAAAAAATTAGCTGGGCGTGGTGGTGGTTGCCTGTAGTCCCAGCTACTGGGGAGGCTGAGGCAGGAGAATGGTGTGAACCTGGGAGGCGGAGCTTGCAGTGAGCCAAGATCGCACCACTGCACTGCAGCCTGGGTGACAGAGTGAGACTCCATCTCAAAAAATAAATAAATAAATATGCAAATGCTAAAGGCTTAAAATAAAAGATAGCACTGGCTTGCCCCACTACATGGTCTTATGTCACTTATGTCACAGGGCAGTGACTTTTTCTTGGAGCTAAATTATAATTCTGATCTCCCTATTTCTAAATAATTATGTTAAACTATGTCCTGGTTTGGCAAGTTTAGACAACACCCATTAATTCCCTTTATGGTAGATGAGAATTTAGCTCTTGCCCCACTACCATATTTCTCTTTCCAATTTTCTCAGGTCAGTTATTTCATAACATTTTGTTAAGTTAATTGCTATGGTTTGAATATGGTTTGTTTGGCCCTGTCAAGTCTTATGTTGAAATTTGATCCCCGGTGTTACAGGTGGGGCCTGGGGGGAGGTGTTTGAGTTATGGGGCAGATCCCACATGAATGGCTTGGTGCCTTCCTTGCAGTAATGAGTGAGTTCTTGTTCCATTAGTTCCCATGAGCATTCCACTAAGAGCTAGTTGTTTAAAGGAGCCTGACATCTTCCCTCTCTCTCTTGCGTCCACTCTCTTGCCATGTGATCGCTGCACATACTGGCTCTCCCTCTCCTTTTGCCGTGAATGGAAGAAGCATGAAGCCCTCACCAGAAACAGATGCTGGTGCCATGTTTCTTATACAGCCTGAAGAACCATGAGCCAAATAAACCTCTTTCCTTTATAAATTACACAGCCTCAGAGATTGCTTTATAACAACACAAACAGACTAAGACATCAATCGTCAATGTTCATTGCAAAGCAATATTAGATAGGTGTATTATGATTATACAGTTGACCCTTGAACAATGCAAGGGTTGTTTAAACCCCCAGGCAGTTAAAAATCTGCGTATAAATTTCGACACTCCAAAAACTTAACTACTAATAGCTTACTACTGACCAGGAGCCTTACTGATAACATAGTCAACACATATTTTGCATGTTATGTGTATTATATACCATATTTTTACAATACAGTAAGCTAGAGAAAATAAAACGTTCTTAAGAAAATCCTAAGGAAGAGAAAATGTGTTTACAAATCATTAAGTGGAAGTGGATCATCATAAAGGTCTTCATCCTCATAGTATTCATGTTGAATAGGCTGAAGCGGGCAAGGAAGAGGGAGGGTTAGTCTTGCTGTCTCAGGGGTGGCAGAGGCTGAAGAAAATCTATATATAAGTGGACCTGTGCAGTTCAAACCCATGTTGTTCAAGAGTCAACTGTATTTCCTTTCTTGTACAACTTTGTTTTTTCTCTGAACTACAAAACTGTGTAATGTTTCATTTACTTAGTTTTCTATGTATCCCATGTCTTGTTGGGGGTTCTAAAATCTCCCTATAATAAACTCCCCAATCAAGAGTCCTAGACTATTTCCTATTTTTCAATGTGGATTTTAACTTTCTATTTACTTATTGGCTTTCCCCCACTGGAATACACTGGTTCCTATTTTCTAATCTGGATTTTAACTAAAATCAGCTCTATTTTCTTATTGGCTTTCTCCTCCTGTTTTCAGGTAGATTATATCCCTTACTGGAATGTAATCTACCTGAAAACAGGAACTTTAGTGCCTAGAACACTGCCTGAACTACACTGGGTATGCAATAGATATAGTAATAAGCATTTTTTTCGAAGCAACAGGTCATTCAGATTTTATACAGTTAAAACCATCATAACTATGATAAAACTCAGAAATTTACAAGGCTTATCAGAAATTTTTTAAGTTTTATAGAGAATCTGGAGTATTATAACTAGGGTAAAGTCATCAAAATTAAAACAGAAAATCAAATTAAAAGTAAATAAATAAAAACAAGAAAAGGGCTAAAATGACCCAAGTATAAAGAAATTACTTTCTGAAGGTCATTTCATTACATTAATTTGGGTACTAGCTTCAAGTTATTTTTTAAAGTTTATTTTATCTATAAAATACATGCTTTCATTAAATGCATCATTACTTTTATGATCCTTGTAATCAATCTCCTTTTTCCCCTTCTAAACATGAGAAACAAATAAGACAGACACAAACATTTATATTGATGAGCTTTTAAAAATACATGGAGATGGCTTAAGGGAAAAGGAATTAAAGATAGCTTTATGATAAAATCTACATTCAAGGCAGAACTTAAATGACTAAGGATTCTGAGTATATTTCACAGCTCAGAAAATATTCAATCCAAAGTAAAATGGACCCAGAACAGGGTTTGTATAAAATAAGAACAGATGAGTAATTAAGGCCTACTTTAAGGCACTAAACTCTTTTCAAAAAGAAAATTGTGATCATGGAATTTTTCTTTCTCATGAATGTAGAGATTTTTTTAAAGCAATAAAACAGAGACTGCAATTCAAAGGCTATCTGATTGCACCTGCCTCACAGGCTGGTTTTGTTTGATGCACAAAAAGTTTTTTTTTTTTATTTCATTCTGTTTGGGTTGTTAATTTGAATTTCTTGCCAACGTTAAAAAATCAAGCAATTTCACATAAAAATCTGGAATCCTGACATCTCTCAAGAATTCCTGAAGAGCCATGATCAGCTGTACCTGATCAGTGAATACCCCTTAGACAGGCATAATCTCTCAAAGTAGCAAGATCACTTCCTCCCAGGCCTTCATATTCATTCATCTTCTTTAAATTAAGTCTCCTGCTTGGCTCACTGAGGGTTTGCATTTGCACACCCTGCAGGAGAATATCTCATTGCACTTTCGCTAATTTGAAAAGTCTTATAAATTCAAATCAGGATAACTTTTACTGTACACTAAGGCGGTTCCTAAGATGAAATCCTTGAGTTAGAGACATAATGGCTGATGTCTACAAGCTCAGGTTGGGGAGTCAGGAGGATAATGACACCTTACAATTTTACCCCTTCCTTCCAAAGGTAAGGCCTCCTCTGGCCACTTTAGCACATGTGTGGGAGACCACTGCTACAGCTCCTTACCTCTGGGCAACAGTGTAAACCTTTATAACACCAAGAGGCATGTCCTGGATTCTCAGAGTATTAGCATATTTGCTATAAGGAAACACTTCAGTCTCTGCAGCACACTACCCAATTAGCTTCAAGAAGATGACTGTTTTAACAGTAGTATGGATTTCATCTAATTTTCAAAGCAAATATCAAAAATACTAAGTCCTTCAAACTCTCTATATTACATACCTACTGTCTTTAATAAAAGATCATGTGATTTTTCTCATATTCAGAAATTCCCTTTTCTGCTATGAAACATTCACTGATCCCAATATTCATTAAGACCCATTCTTGACATTTGAAACAAACCTTTTTTAAAGCTAAAGACTAAGTCTCATAACAGCCCTCATTTATTTTTGCATTAATTGGTGGGTAGTTGACTTTAAAAATTGGCTTTAAACCCACATAGAAATCGAATTTTGTAAAGGCTTAATGACATTAATGCATATAATTTACAATCCACACAAAAGCTTTTGTCTCTTGTGGTCCCCTTTTTACTTCCCTTGATTCTGCAGTTTTATAATGATAAGCATTATAAAAGTGCCCAGACAGCTAAAGAGATACTTCCTGAATCCATATTTGGGTGTACAAAGGGAAACATGCTGCCAATTAAAAATGCAGTAGAGCCCACTATTGTTGATTTATGGCTGTGGAGGACATAACTTTTTCTCATTTTGATTATTCAATTTGGATAACAACCCAGTTGCTATGTGAACTAACTTGATTTTCCCCTTTGATGTGCAATTCTTCTAACACCATCATTTGGCATACTGACTGATGATTGGATAAATTTGCTCGACTTTTACTATGAATCATTTAAATTACTCCTTTGCATAAAGGTTTAAATTTGCTTTGGAGGATGCATTAGGGAATTATTTTAAACACTGTTTTTGTTTTTTTATGATATTGTCTTACTTTCTGATATTGTCTTTTTTCCCTCTCAAGGTTATCATCGTTCCCCTTTCACTTTACTAAAGTACAATAAGACACACCTTCCAAACTGAATAGATGGAGGGCAGGGAAAGTGGAGCAGCTAGAAATGGAATTCTCCCATCTACCTCTGAAACCTGAACAATAACAACTCCACCCCTCTGAGGACCTGGACCATTTGGTATTCTAGGTTTTGGCTGAATAGGTTGGATCAGAAATTGATCAGATCTTTTATAAAACTATAACTCCAACAATCCCCAAAGCCTAGAAATTCATATGCTGCATGCCACAGCAAAGCCCTAAGATCCATTTCTAATTTCCTAAGAAGAGCCTGGGTCACAGAGTCACACCAAAAGGAGTAGAAACCAAGGCCCATCTTCAGGCAGATCTACAAAACCACAGGATTAGACACAATAAACATGCAGCTACAACAGAGATCCTTCTCCTCTGAAATCCTATCTGTCAGAAAGTCCTCACCAAAGTCTCTTGGTTAAACAACAGAAGCACGTGCATTATATCCAGGAAACTGCTACAAAACAATCGTATATTACCTGGAAGGATCAAAAATGACATCAGAGGAGGAGATTTTTTCCCTCTCCTATTCAAACTGCCTGTGGATTGATTGGACGTTAAGGAACTGTGCTATCCAATACAGTAGACACTAGACACGTGTAGTTATTAAATACTTAAAACATTTCTGCATTAGTTTGCTGAGGATAATGGCTTCCAGCTTCATCCATGTCCTTGCAAAGGACATGATCTCATTCCTTTTTGTGGCTGCACAGTATTCCATGGTGTATATGTACCACATTTTCTTTATCCAGTCTATCATTGATGGGCATTTGGGTTGCCCATTGATGGGCATCCATGTCTTTGCTATTGTGAATAGTGCTGCTTATCCTCAGCAAACTAATACAGGAACAGAAAACCAAACACCGCATGTTCTCACTTATAAATAGGAGCTGAAAAACAAAAACATATGGACACAGGGAAGGAAACAACACACACTGGGGCCTGTCGGGGGAGGACCAGTTGGGGGAGAGCACCAGAATAAATAGCTAACACATACCGGGCTTAATACCTAGGTGATGGGTCAATCCAAACCACTATGGCACACATTTGCCTATGTAACAAACCTGCACATTCTGCACATGTCTTAATAATGTTTATATTGATTACATGCAGCAATGAAATCTTAGATATATTGGGTTTTGTAAAAATCTGTTATAAAATTATTTTCACCTATTTCTTTTTACTTTTCTAACAGAACTTCGCTTTTTTTTTTTTTTAAACAGGGTCTTGCTCTGTCATCCAGGCTGGAGTGCTGACATCACAGCTCACTGCAGCCTCAACCTCCTGGGCTCAAGCAATCCTCCCACCTCAGCCTCCTGAGTAGCCATGCCACCACGCCTGGCTAATTTTCGCATTTTTTTGTAAAGATGGGTTTCACCATGTTGCCCAGGCTGGTCTCGAACTTCTGAGCTCAAGCAATCTTCCCGCCTCAGCCTCCCAAAGTGCTGGGATTACAGGCTAATGTGGCTTTTTTAATGTAGAAAAGTTTAAATTACATAATGCAGCACATATTATATGTCTATTGGACAGTGCTATAATAGAATATGAGTGAACTTTTGCCTTATACCTTCTAGAATCTGAGCATGAGAGCAGATAGGATAAAAGAGGGGTTAGGTAAAGAGGTGAGCTTGAGGTGGCATCCTAGGAGCTAGAAAAGGTGAGATCCAGGGGCCCAGGGCAGTCTGGATGTGCCCTTTTAGTAGTAGAAGTCCCCATGCGAGAGGATCACAGAGGGAGGAGAAGGGGGCTAATGGGAACTAAAGAACCATTTTGCCAATGTTCGGAGCTAGGCCAAAGTGTTCTCAGGTTCAGCTGGCAGCAGAAAGAAGATTTTGATAAGCATCCCAAACTTGCAGAAGCATCCTTAATTATTAGCATCCTTCTAAATAGCACTCTTGAGATTTGCCAATCATACAGAAGAATTCTTTGGTTTTGTTGCCTTTTCAGAATGGCCTCTAGGTTGAATTTATTCCAGGCATCCATATGCTCAAAACATATGGAAAAGAGAAAAAAGAAATGTTTTCCAAAGTATTATTAAATTTTACTTCTAAAGAAATATTTTCTTATTATAGGATTTTTTTCAATGTTTTCTCTTAAACATTGAAAGAAAAAATAAATTTTGGAATTTTTACCCTACTGATATCGGTGGTAAAAGAGTTTGATTTTTAACTATTAATTACAAAGAATAAAAATGCAATATTTCCTTCTAGGGCTTATGGAGTTAAATATTAAGTTTCTGCACTTGGAGAACTAGAATTCTAAATTTAAAAATGAGACAAGGCAAGAAATGTTGCTTTAAGTAACGATGACTAGCCATAGGTAATGCTACAGAGTAAGAGAAATTTCCTCCTAAGGACCCTTACTCCTTCAATTTGCCTTTCTCTGCCACCAATTAATGCTTTCAGAAATTCTTGTCCCCGTTTTCCATTCCCCTTTCCAAAGATTTAGAGACCTTCTCTTGGCCCAACCTCATGTGTGTTACAGAAATGAAGTCTGACAAACTTACTCCAAAGAGATTATTTTGGTAAAAGATGTATCACATAGTCACTTGGATACAAGAGAAGCCTTCTGGACACCTGTTCTGTGACTGCAAACCTACACTCATCCAATCTGCCTCCAGACGATGCTAACGCTATGAACACAAACATGCTGACAGGCAGTCACATTTCCATGAGATCATATTCATAAGGGTGCATAATCACATGCTATGATGAGCATAATCACAGTGCTAGAAGATGACGTGAGCATTTATGGATTTGGATTAAGTAGTGTTTTAAAGTCAAAGACCTAAAGGACAGAAACGCAAGAATCCCTATACATAATCATTTCAAGAAACTATAGAATTTAAGCCTGTTTAGTGAAATCAGGAGGAATTCTACTATCACTGCTGAAAAACTTTATTCCAGGCAGGACATAAAGCCTCTGATTTCTGCTTTTGCCTAAATCTCCAGAAGTACCTACAATGTTCATGATGGGAGATGTGTATTCTACCCTCAGGTAACTTGGCAATTAAACTTGAATGTCATTGCTGCCCAATTACTGCCTTCAAATGTGTTCGTTTATTTACTTACCCAATTATTTCCTCAACATTCAACTATCTCAAAATTAAAAGTGAAAAATGAAAGTGGAATTTGAGTCACATTCACAACAAGTGAATACTTTAGGCTGAAAAATATGTTCATATATAAAACAGTCAATTAAATTTGAATTCAGCTGAACCAGTGGACTTTATAAGTCACCCTTAGGGTGGACACTTCTCAGGTAATGGACATCCATGCTGAATGTTCTTTTTCATTTTGTTTACAAATGAAACCAAATAGCTTCAAATCCATTAAAAGAGCCAATATATTATGGTAATATATTGTTAAGAGACATAATCCAAATGCTTCTGAATATAAATTCTCTGTTATTGGTGTCATTAATATCTGCATGATTCTAGACTTATTTTCATACTTCTTTTTCTTTTTTATTTTGCCAGAAACACCTGAAATTTAAGAAAATCCATCAAGGAGGATATGCAAAGCAAGAATATTAGGTGTTACACAACCAGAAGACAAGAGCAGAGAGGCAAAAAGAACCAACATAGAACTAGTAAAAGCAACAGTATAGCCTGGACAGTTCAAGGGATATGCTGACGCTTATATTGCTAAGAAATTTACCATGGTCTAATTTAACCTTCAAGAACAGCAACAGTTAAGAGCACTACTAGTGGTCTCCTTGAAAGGGCAAGATCGAACTCTATCACAGTCCCTGATCATTTCTAAAACAAGTTTCCCCTGAAAAATGGAAAGAAAGCTGTGCTTCAAAAAGCTCACTAATGAAACATCCTCTCTCTCTCTCTCTAAGAAAAGAGCTTCACAGGGGGAACCAAGATAAACATACACATACATACATAATATATCTATCAGGAAAGAAATCCTATTCTCTCCTTCCCATTTTTTTTCTTGCTGCACACCCTTAATAGTATCATTTACTCAGCTTTAATAAACCTTTCAGATATTTTTGTAAACAAAGGTCATCTAACATAAATTGGTATAATAATTCTTGAATCTGAAAAGGGTAAAATTGTAAGCCATTCTCCCACAGGACCGTTGTTTCTTAGGCACTGCTTCTCAGCTATTCAATTAAACTAGAAGGCAGAAAAGCACCCCATGCAGCACTTAGTCTTGCACTCCTCCTGCATCCAAGTAAGCCTGGATATGCCAAGTTTCTGAGCAATTGATTCAGAACCAATTTGTGGCAAAGAAATGCTCTCCCGCTACTTAGAGTGGAAAGATCTCTCCATGCACTTTTGTCTAGACAGTCTCAACTACAGGAATATAATGTGTTCGCTGGCCCTACAGTGATTTATTAAATGCCAAATCCATACAGCACAGGCACTAAAGCTTAAGAAATGGAAAAACAGCTTACCCAGTGGACTTGTAATGACTTATTAAGATTATGTTGGCAGCAAGACTTAGACAGTATCAGTAAATAATAGTGAGCTATCAAACAACTTTGGTTGAAATGGTAATGTTTAGAAATATCCCATTTAAGGTGGGGAAATGCATCCGCTGGGAATTAGTGACATGGAAAATATTCCCATGCAGTGATGTGAAAGAATCTCAGGTCCACTACAGCAATTCTGCTGGGAATGTCAGTTTCCTTTAAAAAATAAAAATAACCCAGAACTAAAACTCAGTTTTAAAAAAGAAAGGTACAGGCCAAAATCTACCCAAGAAAAAACAATTTTTTTAACTATAAAAAACCAAGTACCTTTTTCTATTTTTAGTTCATAAATCGAAAAAATCAGATGCTTATTATAAAATGTAAAATTGTGTATAAATATATTATTATATTTATATTTTCCATTGAGGATCCTATTACAAATAGACTGCTTCTCAAAAATTCCCTAATCAAATGCTACATGCCAGCAGACATTTCAAATAATTATAATGGAGAAAAAAAGAAGGTGAAAAAAATGTGTTTTCTGTTAAAAAGAAAAATCTTGTTTGATGATAAAAATACCTTTTGCTAGATGTTTGCTAAATACAGTTTTTCCATATGATCAGAATCAAGGTATGATGTTACCAGATATTTATCAATTATCTCAGCTATCCAGCAATGAGAAAAAAAATGTAATTGTTCTTTTGCAAACCATAAAATATACTTTTAAAAGGCAGCATATGATACGTGAAACTGACCATTACAGTACTTCCAGCAATATACATTATTCATGAAGGTATTAACTACTACTAATTTCTAACTTATATCAATATAAGAAGCACTATTGCTAAGAAAATAGATGTTTATTTACTTTCTGTAGAGGATATTATTCAGAAATCATCTAAAAATCCATTAATCTTTAGAGGAAAAAACCATTCTTTTTTATCAATTTGATGCAGCCGAAGCAATTTCCTCAAAATAATATATGACTGATTTCCTCAAATTGTTCTTTTTAATATTTAAACATTCATGATATCCAAAAATTGTAATGAGCTACTTGACAACTATTAGATACATATATTATTTCTCTAAAGTTCTTCAAGTTTTTCCTACGGAAGAAAAACAGGAAGCTGTGAGAGTGCCATGGGTCTTGTCATTGCCTCGTGCCTCCTGCCCGTCACACTCCATGTTGGAGCAGGCGACCAGAACTGGCCCGCGAGACTTTCTCAAGGGTGTACCAGGTGGCAGGTTCAAGGCAATTTGAAGTTTATTATTTTGCTATTCCTAAAAGAAACCATTTAAGGGGTGGCACTCAATGAGGTTAAATGAAATTATTGAGGAAACCAAAATTGAAAAGCCTACTGGAATAAACTTCAGAGTCCTGACCTCATGATCCACCTACCTCGGCCTCCCAAAGTGCTGGGATTACAGCCGTGAGCCACCACGTCACACCTGAGCTTTTCAAACAGGAAAAAAATTTTAATTCAGGTATTTTAAGTAACATTGGCCAAAACCAGGTATTTTAAGTAAACTTTGGCCACAACCAGTGTTTAGTGTTTTTTTCTGCTTTTCACAAAGATTCACGTTGGAAAACAACAATTTTAGTTTAATTTTTAGAACTTTAGATTTTAAATTTAAACTGAATTTAAATTTCAGTGGGATCGGAGGGTGTGCAGTGACAGGAAAAACTATGAGTTGTATTCCAAAAATATTTGGGATACTTATTAGGAATGACCTCAGTACTATATTTTTTAAGTAACAACCTTCTGCGTAATATTACATAATAAGAAAAAACTATACTTTGATTATTTCAAGGTAACAACAGAAAAGTTGACGTTCTGGTGGAAATTTGTTATGAATGTTATTTATTGGTTGACTAATTTTGAATTTTTTTTCTAATATTTTTCTCTGGAGGCTGAGGTATCCATCAAGATTCTAGAACAACAGATGGACATTGGCCCATGCTAGGGCAAACACATAACTGTAAAATTTCAGAACACCTGGGACCAAAAAAAAGGCCGATTTCAAATGGCATTTCACTTCTCAACGGCAACATTGTTAGAAAGTAATATAACAGTGCCTTCAAAATAAATCCCAACATATAATACTATTCTTAACCAAAAGGATAATCAGGAGTGAATGTGGAACAAATTCATTTCCACATATGCAAACTCTCAATCCATTTACCATCCAGGTAGTAAGCTTTCTCATGGAGTTCCCACCAAAATATAGGAGTAAACAAATATAGAGGAACACGTGGGACCCCAGAGACAGACAGAAGATCACTCATAGCAAAGCAATGGCAAGGATCCTAGGAGGAAGGAGACGGGAGAAACCCAAGACACAGGCTGGACAGCAGGTCCAGAGAAGTGAAATGATTGGATAATATATTGAGTTGAGAATTACACAATGGGAGAAGTTAGAAGATAAATTAGTGTAAATTAGGTAAATACAAAGAAAATTGAGCAAACCTAAAACCAAGCAATTTTCAATCCAAGAAAACAAAAACAAAAAATAGGAAGCAAAATGAGTGATATTTTATATGTTACCTGGCTCAACAATGATTAGCATTTGCATGATCCTCAGAACATAGACGATCAAAGAGTGATTAAGCTGAAAGTGAAATGTAACTAAATTTAAAGGTTTCAGCAGGAAGTATTCATGTGTATGGTTAGGGATTATGGTTATAAGATTTAGCAAATAAAAATACAGGGCACCCACTTAAATGTGAATTTCAAATAGTTAATAATTTGGGAGGTTCCAAGTATTTTATAGATAGTAGTAGAGGGATGAAAACACCTATATCCTCATATTCCATAGTAGAGAATCAAAACTAAAAAAATCAGTAAATAGCATTATAAGTCCAATAAGCAAATAGCAACATATTTGAAATGGGTTGCCTCTGACGAGCAAGAAATTATGACAAGGGGGATTCAGGTGGTATTGTTTATTATACCAATTATATGTTTTTAACAATTTTGTTCTTTCCATGCACATAGAATCCGATCAAAATACAAACTAAATTATTTAATAACTGAAGCAAATATGACAAAATGTTATAATTTGAAAAAGCAGCATACATAGATGTTTATTGTTTTATTCTCAATTTTTTTTCTTGGAAATAATCAGAGCTATCTAAGGAAATTTCGACAAATATTTAAAGACTAATGTTTTGCAAGGTTTCCATATTATTAAACTATTTGGGATTATCGTGATGAAAATTACGGAATAATTTGCAGTCATGTCTTTTTATTTACTTATTCATTCCACATATATTTATTGTTTACCTATGATGTTGGAGAAGCAGACAAGGTTACAGCAAATCAGTTTGCTAGCCACAAAACAGCAAGTATAGACAGATCAACAATGGAAAATTTCACTCCATTCAAGGCAGCTCACGACATGACAAGTCACTCCTCCCTTCCCCAGAGGTCCTACAGACTCATATATTCTTGAGTACAGAAGTGGCACAGGAACTCCTTGAGGGTAGTAACCCACTTCCATTATCTTTAAGGAATCCTTCCTAGTCTGACACAGCCTCTAAAACAGTATCTGAAGAGGAGCTCATGAAATTTGTTAAAGGAGTAGATGAAATTAATCAATGAGTAAATGATTGAATAAACTATATTTTAGAGGCTGTGACAGTTTTCCTTACTGAAAATGATTTTTAAAGTTCATCTAAAAGGCTACTGAATTAACCTTGATGTAATTACTATTTAAGTAATTTTATTAAATAATTTTATTTACCATTTAAATAATTGTATTATGTACTTTTAAATGCCACAGAGGTTTTATGATCGTTTAAATAATTGTATTATATACTTTTAAATACTGCAGAGGTTTTATGACACTGGAATGGAAGAGGAAACAGGGGACCCAGAGGATACCTTAAAGAAACAAACTACAGGACGTGATGGTACAATAGGGGAGAGGAAGAGAGAAAAATCAAAGATGTAGCACAGAAAACACTCAGCTCTGGAACCTGGAAAACAGGCGGTCCCGCTAAGAAAAACGGAAATGTAAAAGAACAGCCAGTTTTGAAGGAAGGCGAGAATTCATTTTTGTGTATATTAATTTATCTATCGTACCTAGGGCCCAGCGACAGTCATGCCGGAAGCATCTCAAATTTTTAAAAATGTAAATGTGAAAAGCAGACAAGCAGTTCCTGCATTTTGTCATCGCAAATATCATCGATTTGATTTCATGAAAGTCTCTTTTACACAACTCTATTTGAGTTTCTGCCTCCGTGAGTTCATTTATCAGGCTCAGCCATCACTTTCAGGAGTCATGGGGGACTGCAGCCCCGCCCTTAGTAAACCGGGTAAGTCCGGGCTCGGCTCGCCTATGCAGGAGTGCCATCTAGTGGTCAGAGAATGTCACTTCAAGCTAGACTACAGGAGGAATAAACAGAAGGGGACCTCAGGAGGAATAAATAGAAGGGGACCTCAGGGACATTCTGCTTTTGTTTCCAATTTCCAGGCGTGCTGTGACTGAAAAAAAGGAAAAACATTCCATTCATTGCCTAGATATGACTTTATGATAGCACGTCCAGTTACAGTGCCAAAAAGTGAAATCCAACGTCTGCTTTTAACGTATTCTTAAATGAGACTGATGTGGTCTAAAGGAGAAAACAGTAAAATCAGCATCGCTTTTTATTTTGAAGTTGTTTATATTTGGCAAAGAATGTGTTTGTGGCCATAGACACCATTTGGCTATCTTCAAATCAAGGCAAAGGTTTACAAATAACGAATTTGTAAATGTCTCACGTATGAATGGGCCCCTTTTCTTTAAAGTCACGCCCTTCATACGGTCTTATGCATACACCTGATTCTCTCTGAAAAAAGCAGCCGTTTTGCTGCCTGATGCCCAAAGTCATCCCTTTGTCTCAAAACGTCCAGAACACTTTGTCAAACCTTTAGAGCTATTTATGTTTGTGTCTTATCTCCCTCGCTAGGCTTTCAGCTTCTTGGGGCAGAGTCCATTTCTGAATCATGCATTAAAAGCTCCAAACAGCTGATTACCAGTGTTTCTAACACCAGGGAATCAAAGCCTCCTTTCAGAACTCAATACCAGCTGTGGATTTCCTCACCAGAAAATACGCACTGTGCACACAACATGCAAAATTTTGCTCGCACTCTCGGGAACTTCAGTAGCCCCTGGAAGCCCATTAACATGCTGTTCAGGTTCAGAAACCTGATCCAAAATAAACTTCTGGAACATAGCCTATTCATAAGTTGAAGTATCCTGTATGGGAAAAACAGGCACGTGTGGAGATACAGAGTAAAGCCTATAAAACTTGACTTCCCCTACATTGTCAACTATTCACCAGAAAAAAGAAAAAAAAATCTATTTCTGCTGATTGAAGCCGAAAAAGGCACAGCTCAAACCTGTGGAAATGAATACAATGTGAAAATGCACCATCCAAAGAGCCAGACATGCCCAAGACCCCTTCCCGTGCAAGGATACTAAGGAAGGCCTGCTACTCCCCCCAGCCCCACCCTTCAGGGCACTCTGGTGTCCTAGTTATCTGACCTAAGTTTAAAAAGAAAAAAATCTTTCCCCCTGTACTTGGCAATATTCAAATTTTTCCAAGGTGCGCTTGCTTACACACTCTCTCTCTTTCTCTCTCTCTTTCTTTCTTTCTCTCTCTCTCTCTCACACACACACACACACAATTAGATGAGGGAAATGTCCAAAGCACAAAAATAGATTTCTTACCCTAAATCTGATCTGGCCATGGGTTGATTTGGATGGCAAAACTGAGATCTTTTGTTTCTACCTTAAGCCTCCCCCAAATCCCCTTCTCAGACTCAGAGCACGGATAACCTATCCCCAGTTTTGGAGCCCTCCTTCCTTCCAAGAAAAGAATGAGACCAGAAAACTCAGTGACATCTGAATCACATGCACAAGAGCTCATTTCGATTGATGGGCCCTCCCGGGGGAAGTTAGGAGAGCTATGTTGGCACTTCCCTCAATCCGTGTCAGGATGTCGATAAAACCACAGACCCCTCACTACCCGCTCTGCACAACGCTTCCTCCTTTTCTCATGGAAGTAGAAGTGTCTTCTCTCCACAGGACATTTTGATTTTCCACAGTGTTTTTCAATAGGCTTTTAAAGTATATATCTATCTTCACAGCAGGGTTCAAATACAAACATTTCATCAGAAGTTAGGCAAATAAAGTTTGGAGAGTTTACAGGAAGAGCATAGCTCCAACCCTCACTCATCAGTTCTGGCACGTCGCAGAGAGAGAAGATACTTAGTGAACACAAAAGTCGGAGTTCTGAGCCTCATTGTGGTTCTCAAATAACTGAGGCTGTGTTATAGGAGAGATGGTACAACCTTGGGCAAGAACACTCCAGAGGAAATTCAATTTCCACATCCGATAGGGGGCGAGGTTGGGCCACATCAGTGTCAGCTCTGACACTGTTAAGCGGATGGTCATCTCAGAAACAAATAAAGCAAAGGGAGGTTATGCAGGAGGCAAGGGGAGAGTTGGTGGTCAGCAGATGAGAGCTGGAGAGGGTCAGACACAAACAGGTAAACCAGAGTATAGACCGGGGCGCTCCTAATATCACCTGGAGCAGGGATGGTTGTCAGGATCATCTCTGGCCAGCATGACACTGGTGTGACATCTTGAAACAACATCCAACCAATCCAAGCAGGCACAGTCCCAAATGCGGGATGCACTGCCAAGGCTCAGCCCAGAAAGGAATGACCAGCTGGAACGATCACAAAGAAAACCATGTGTAAGCAATGGGAATTTCTCCAGCCTTAATGTTAACATGGGGCTGTATGCTGACTTGGTAAGACAGGACTTCTCAGTCTCAGGACTATTAACACCTTAGGTTCAAAAATTCTTTGTAGTGGGGGGCTTACCAGTCCATTTTAGGATTCTTAACAACACCCCTGGCCTCTACCCATTAGATGCCTTTTACGCTCCTGTCATCCCCAGTTGTGACAACCAAAGCATATTCCAACATTGCCGAATGATCCTGGGGCAAAATTACCCCTGTTGAGAACCACTGTTCTCAGAGCATGTTTCATGGCCACCAGGTGGACTGAAATAATGCTCTGGCTTTTCATAGCGTCTTTCCCTGTGCTCCCTCCTTGACTGTTTGCGTACCCCCCTGTTCTCTTGGCTCTGCCCTCAATTTGCTCTCTGTCCTACACTTTGGCCTTGCCATTTCTAGCCATCATTTACCCCTAGCTTCATCTTTATCTAGGATTTAAGGAACTATGGGCAAGCTTTAGATCAATGCCTTCTCACCTGAGGCTCAAACACTTCCCCCAAAGCCCCCTGGCCAGGATACAGCCTCTCCTTCTCTAGAGCACAACACTGTCTCCTGAGACCTGAGCCACAGAACAGGGAATCTGATGAGCACCAGTTGAAACACAGGTATCTGGGAGTCAAAGGAAGGGGCAAAGCTGTTTTATGCTTATTCCTAGGGGTCCTAGAAGCTGAGAAAACTCTCATTCCTCTTCCTATATCATCTTCTAGGCAGACAGGGCAATGAGGTCACCCCTTCCCTATCACCTTCACGAGGTGCTGAAGCAGAGACCCTCTGGAGACTTCCACAGTACTCCTCTCCTCTCTCAAACAACCGAAAAGTCAACCCGCCCCATCCTCTCTGCTCAGAGGAGCTTTGTCCAGCTCCACATCTGTAGTTTTGCTGTTTGTGGATTAACTTTGCCAATTGCACCATCAGAAACTACTCTGGGCCACAGGGACAGGGTTCTTGCCCCTCAAAGGAGTTTCAACTACAGGGAAACCTATTCTTTTTTGGTAATTTTGACCTGTGATGAGAGTTTATTTATTCAAAGAGCCTTCCTTACCAGGCACTTTTTCTGATGTTTCAAGTAAACATATTCCATATTACCAAAATGCAACAACTTGGTGACTGACGTAACCAGATTCTAGAAGACATGCTTTCTTACTATGATCTCACTTCTTAACCCCCACTCCACTGAAAAGGCCCTCTGCCATCTGCTCTCAACCTTGCCATTGATTCTGTGATACTGTGAAATTTACTTCTTTCTGCTTCAGTTTCTACATCAATGGAAAAGACAATAACTTTTCTTCTTTCTCACAGATAGATCTTTAGGTGTTAATAGGATACTATATCAAAAATGCAATAAATTCCACCCAAATATATGTCCACTAAATTAAAAAAAAATCCTTCCTAGCTTGCTAACAAGTAGGGCCTTCAACTCAACTCCATAATGCATATGTCTTATTCCAGATGGAAAAGATACAGACTGTAAAACTAGTGGTAGGCAGTAGGACAAAGATCTTAGCAACCAGAGGTATCAACAATGAAAAAGATGGGCATATGAATGAGGAGTCACTGGTGAAGCTATTCAAGGAGAAAGTATAATCAATGACAAATGCCAGGTCATATGTGGTATAGTGAGGATTCTGGTGTTGAGTAGAATGTGAAAGAGAGTGACCTCTGAAGTCCTTTGTGCATCTGCAATTCTAACATGACTTCTCTGGCCACCAGTGAATGTTCATCACAATCTAGAATGGGCAATTCATTTACAATGGAATGTTTATCGCCCCAGTACAATGTTTTTCTTGTTATTTTAAGATATCTTCTTGGCCAATGGGAGTGAGAGTCACTCGTGGAATTGACTTTTTGTCCTACACTTAGAAGGCCAAAGAAGACTAGTATGAAACCTAAAGGGAATAAGTTTTCTCTACTTTCAAATCCTTTCCATGAATAAGTCCTGGTGACTTTTTGTTCCATCATCATCACTGTCCTTCTGGGGACCAAGGAACTCACTCTCTGGGTCAGGAGTCTTCTGAGACCCCAGGCACATTAATAAGGGCATGTTCATAAGGGTAGCTTAGATAAAGCTCAGTGAGTTCAGGGCACTGGAGAATATCAATTCTGTTTCAGAATTTTTAATTTTCAAGACCTCTTCTCAACAAAATATCTAGCAAATTAAAAGTATTCTTCCTACTATAAATCTCTTTGCATCTCTGCTATAAACCTATTTCTCTTTAGGGCAATGGGAATACCTATAGCAGAATAAGGGGAGGGTCACATACAAGAAAGTTCAAAGATTAACATTGCAAGAGCTCTCGCCACATATAATTACATCATATAAGAAATTATCCTGAGGCAGAGGATTGTCATTCATAGAAGAGTTTGGCACTTCGAGGGTGATAAAGACATGCCTTTAAATAATTATGTGAAAACACTCAGCAAAGAGAAAGAGCAAACTGTTGTGATATCAAACCTGTTAGAAAGCACGCCTTCATTTAACAATGTAGGTCAGGTCGGAAAGGACCAGAAAAGCTGCAGGTGGCTGTCTTCCAAGTGTTAGAAATTATTGGTGCATTTTTCAAAAGCATGAACTACATTTTGAAAATAAAAATGCTGCTTCTTTAATTAATAAGATATATTCAGTTATATGCAGCCTTTCACCAGACCTTTAAGTACTCTATTTTTTTCATCTTATTATCAGACTACAGAGAGAATAGTGGTAAGCTGATAAAATGCTCTATGGAATTTAGTATTCTTTTATCTGTCCTTCCCTGGCCTTCAGTTTACTCAATTTTTTGTCTCTCAATAGTTTAATTACATGTGAAAAGACTCCCAATAACATACTTGTGTTATAGCATATTAGAATTAAATGAGGGGAAAACTTTTCATTATGTGGTTTTATTGTTGTTCATTTGTACATTCATTTGACAATACTGACTCAAGTTGCTGTGTGTTCTCTTAGGCTCCATGTATTTTATATCCCAGAGCTCCATCCAGGAAGCTACATAATTAAAAGAGTAGCTTATTTTTCTCATACTATATAGAGATAATATAATTTCAACAGATTCTATTTTCATCCATTATGAAGCTGTCTAAACTTAAGGACACCATTTTCTTTACGAATAAACTGACTCTTAACATTTCAGTACCCAATCAGGCATATATGTTAACTAACATCAAAATTAAATGAAAATCATCGGTCAGACAAATCCATTATGTATGAAGTTAACTATTACAGATGAAAACAAAATCTAACCTAGTCAATGATTTAAGGAATTATTCTCACTTTATTAAAGCACACACACAAACCAGCTAAATTCTTGGAAGAGTTTAACTATGAGTTTAGCCATTGAAGCAACAATTTTCCTCACCATAAACTGGAACCTTATTCTGAGTAAGACTGTAAGAGGAACTAAGTCTTAAAGGAAGGCCATCGGAAAGTTACTTTTATACTGGAAATAGTCCATCCCTATTCTCAAATAGTTTTGCCCTTATGACTCTGCTCCCAAGGCAGGCTTTTCTGGCATAAGTAAATTTAGCTTTATTTCTGGAACAAGTAGTCTTTCTTCATAAGTGTCATACAGAGCTGGGCTGATTTAGCTTTCTGTCTGCTTTATACAAGCCTTAGCAAGTTTCAAAATATATGGCCATTCAAAGCAAGTTGTATTGCAGGCTTTTCTCATTTGTTTTCACTTATCAAAAAGTTAGAACTATGTGAAACCAGTTATTCGGGTACACTAAGTCAAGGTCAGGATTCACTAGTTAACATGTTTTTAATGCAGATAACATGCAAATTCCCAATCAAGAAATTAGGCCAGAACTTGTAGATTCAGAAATGTTCACTAAAACTGAAAGTACATGAACCCCAAAGCTCTCTCAGCAAGGAATTGAGGGGATAAAACCATACACACCCAGAGTTTCCAAATCACTACCTACCTTGAAGATTTTAAATATGCCGTTTTAGCAAGGAGATTTTAATTTATGCTGGTAATATCTACTAGTAAAGAAAAGAGGTTACCATTAAGGTCACTACATAGCAAATGCTTTTATTTCTTGAGTATTTTAAGTTTGGCTTCCTGACATGATTTTTATACATATCTGTGTCTAGGTTTTTGTCTGCCTTTGTATATCTGCCGAATGCCAGTTCTTTTTCACAAAGTCTCTGGCTGATGTCGTTCATGACATTCTGTGGTGGAGATTTATTCCCTGACCTTATACTTTGGAAAGGACAGCCTGAAATACTCAAGAAATTGTGGGCCTTAGTAGATTATACTATGAGCTATTTCTCTTCCCCAGAGGAAGTATTACCAACCAAAGCAGAGGCCAAAAGAGGAACTCTTCTGATTGCCAGTATCCTTGCAAAGAGCCATTTGGGTAGGACACTGGTTTAGATTTTCAGTTTGAGGCTAAGATGGTGGTCGTGATACAGGGATAGTGCTTTGGCAACTTTTCATCCATTGTTGAAACCTTGTGATACCTTGGAAGACAGTGAATCTAAAAAGGCATCAGCATGTAAAATTAACAGCTGGTGCCAAAAATCACAGTAATACCTTGTTTGACTTTTGAAAAATATTACAAGCAAAGAAATTCCTCCCAAAAAATTTCTAAATTGCACTCAAACTGAATTCTTAAGACCTACTTCATGTTTAACATGTTTTGACACTCTGGTTCCGTGCTGATAAATAGATAGCCTGCTATTTACTACACCACAAGTCAGATTAAAGAATAGGACCCGTATTGGCTAACTGATTAGGGCTACTAGGAATTGTGTTTATTTTTAATTCATTAACCATATACTGCTTTGTGATGATGTTTTAACATCAACATAAAAATTGCACCATTTAATTTTTATGGTGCAGTGTCTTCCTTAACGTTTTTCCAACAACTAGTTACTAAGCACCTTCTATGAGCCATGTACTGTGTTAAGTACTAGAGAGGCATTGGGGTCTGCAAAGCAGGGATTTTAAAACTCTCTGATAAATGTAATCAAATGCTTAGGGTTAAAACGGATAATCCAAACTATAAATTCAACCCTAAATTAGTATGGCGTATGTCACTCGACTCCCACTCCTTCACATCCCCCCAAGGACAGCCTCTGCATTTACATCCTCTAAAGGGGATAATCACAAAGGAAAATCACCCATCATCACGTGTGCGCTCATCACTCATCATCACATGTGTCCTCAGCACTCCTCATGCACCAGGTGCAAATGCAACTGCAGCTTTAACTGCTCCCTAAGACGTTACCAATACTCAAATCCATCCCTGTCCTGGCCCCTCTCATGAGCTTCAGACTTACACATCCAACTGCCTCCTGGTGTTCTACAGAAAGCTCACCCTACACAGTCTAAAACTGAACTGACCATTTGACCTACAAACCTAATTCCCCTCCAAAGGAGCTCATCTCATTGAACTTGGCTACCAGCAGCACAGTTAGGGCCAGAAGTGTGAGTCATCCTCCACACGATTCCCTTTCTCCGTTTCTCCCTTTCTCTTTCTCTTTCTCTCTCTCTCTCCCTCTTCTCTCTCCTCTCTCTCTCTCTCCACCCCTTCTCTCTCCTCTCTCTCTCTCTCTCTCTCACACACACACACACACACACACACACACACACACACTCCACACTCAGTTACCATGTCATCAGTTCTGATGATGGGGCCTTTCAATGTAAACAGAGGAGCTCTTATTCTGGATTCATCATTTCAGTGTAGGAGTCTGGAGTCAGAGCTGTTGGGGCTACTGTCTTTCTTTAATTCTATGATGCTATCAAATGTAAGACCCATGTTCATCTCAGCAACATTAAATTGCGGGGGAGGACATGCATTATTTACAATCGAGGACATACTACATTTCTTTCCTTTTATTTTCCAGGAGAATGCCCTGTTATAGCTTTATATCTTTTTGGCTTTCTGTATCTATTAAACATAGAGCTAAGTGGGGCTCTCTTTTGTCTTAGACCACATTGGTGTCCCATTTTTACTAGCTGAATGTAGGATTTATATGATTAATTTATTCATGGAGGACATGCGTGAGAACTCAAATTGCAGTCAGGATATTGAGTAAAACCTGGACAAGTCTGAGAAATTCTGTAGCAGAAAATACTGAGAGCTGACAAGAAGAAGATGAGACATCCAAGGATGAACTTAGAACACAGATGTCCCCCACTTTCTTTGTGATAAAGATTTGACTACTTATTACAGATATAGGTTACTCTAGTCATGGGAAGAAAATATGAAACAAACTGAAGAAGAGCAGCAGCATGCAGTGCAATAAAACTTGGATGGTATTCTGAATATTTTTTTTTATGGAGATAGAGTCTCGCTCTGTCGCCCAAGCTGGAGTGCAGTGGTGCAACCTCAGCTCACTGCAACCTCCACCTCCTGGGTTCAAGCAATTCTCCTACCTCAGCCTCCTGAGCAGCTGGGATTACAGGCATGCACCACCACACCCAGCTAATTTTTTGTATTTTAGTAGAGACAGGGTTTCACCATGTTGCCCAGTCTGGTCTCAAAACTCCTGTGCTCAGGCAATCAGCCCGCCTTGGCCTCCCAAAGTGCTAGGATTACAGGTGTGAGCCACCGTGCCTGGCCTTTTAATATTATTAATAATATAGAAGATGTGGTTAAGCCTTGATAAAAATATAATCCATTTGAGTTGGGCTAGAGACAAAACCTTGCTCCTATGCCACAGTTGACACAGCTGAATAAAAACATGAACCAAACAGGGCTCTCTCTCCTTTTCCCTTTCCATCTCCCCCTCCCCCAGGATTCCAGAGGACTACAGAAGAGCATGCTGATGACATTAGCAAATTTTTTTTCTAAAGCCTTTTTCTAAAGGCTTTTTCTCAAGCCGTCCCTGCTTCCCAATGCCTCTCCACTAGCTTGAACTCTAGTCTAAATTGTGGCTATTTGTCTGTCACCTGCACCTCTGCTAGTCTTGCAACAGGTTTCCCTACTTCCAGTCTCTCTTCTCACAAATCAGTTCTCTTTACTTTTGCACTCATCACAAATTGTAAATACACATATATATTTATTTACTTTCCTAGGATCTTTACTTCCAATGCTTGTCTGTAAGTTCCATGAGGGTCTATGTATAATTTGGCAGCATTACAAAGCTTTAAATATGTGAGCTAAATGAATAAATGAAGGACACTATCAACATGGCCTTTCTTAGACAAGGTTCTTAGCTATTTTTGTGGCAGTTTCATCATATATAAATAAGGATCACAATACTGTCTACCTCAAAAGTTGTTAGGGTGATTCATAAAACAAAACTGATATATGTAAAACAGTTAAACAGCATCTGCCACATTAGACGAATTTACTAAGGTACAGCTATTCTAACTTATTATAATATTGCTGTTATCATCATTTAACTCCCCATAAAATAGAAACCTCTTGTTTCAAGTGACCTTGGCAAGGTATGTCAAATCCAGCATGATGAGGTACAGAAACGATTCAGGGCATTCCACCCTCCTGCTTTACAGATCCACCTGAATTCTTTTTCTCACCTGCATGCCTTGGTGAGAACACCTTTCCTCTTCTTCACTGGCTATTTAATCTCTACTCATTATTCAAGAATATCTTCAGGCATCCTTCTTCTAGGAGGACTGCTATAAGAAGGGCACTACACATATTATAAATGTTCCTCAAATACACATTTAACTAAAAAAATAAATAAAACCCAGATGTCATCTTGGATGTTCTTGATCTTCTGCTGACAGACTAACATCATAGCAATGCAAAATTTTTTTTCATATACAGCATTAGTCACACCTGTTACTAACATGGTCTGGACATCTTTTCAAAGAATTTGGCTCTCACTTCCCTTTCATCCTTGTCCCTCACTTTTACCTGTCCATCTCTACCACATAACAGAAATGTTATTGCTAACTCAAAGCATCTTAGCCATCTCTTTCTTGCTTTACCTCTAATGAATGCCTTTAAGCTATAAGCTTCCACTGAAATGCAATTTCCCCAAAAAAGACAGTTCCCTTCTTATTGGAAACTCTTGTAACTTCTGCCTAGAAAATATTTATTTACACCTGGCTATAAATTAATGATGGAGACTGGCAATTATATTCAACTTAGCAGTGCCAGCTGAAAGTGTTCGGTCTCCAGGAAATGCACAGCCCTGGGGGATCCAATCCTACTTGGTGTCAAGAAAACAGAACCGAAATGTTCCAGACTTCAAGAAACATTATAATAGCCAAAACAAAAGGATGAAACAAATTGAAGAGAGACAATTTAAGAGAGGTGCAGGAGAATCCAAAATGCAACTGCAAAGGTGAAACCAGTCAAACCACCTCTTTCTTTTTTTTTTTTTCTGCTTTAAGTTTTAGGGTACCTGTGCACAACGTGCAGGTTTGTTACATATGTATACCTAATGTTAAATGACAAGTTAATGGGTGCAGCACACCAACATGGCACATGTAAACCACCTCTTTCTTGACCAACTCCTTCATTTGAGCCAAAACATGAAATAAATGGAAAAATTGTGTTATAAACATGACTAGAAAAATATTATGTTACAGACACAGCTGAAGTAAGTCTCTAAGTCACATGTGATAGAAAAACTAACAAGCAACATTGGGGAACAGAAAGATATAATTAAAGTGTTTACATTGCAAACTATATTCATTTATACAATCAAGTCAATAACAACGTCAATGTACATAATTTCCTTCCAGCTCTGTCTTCTGTGAGCTCCTTTTCATCATCCTTGGGTTTCTCCTTTCTCTTCACAATCTCATTCACAATATAAAAACGATAAGGACTTAGTGCAGTTACAAGAATAATGGAATATTTTCCAACATGTTAATATCATATAAAATGGTTACCCCATACAGCATCCATTTTTCTAATTGGAACCAAATTTTCAAATAAGTGTACACATATCACTAAGCAACCCATCTAACTTTTCAATTCTTGGTTCCATTTTCATAATAAGAGAAGCATATTTTCTTATTTCCACTTTAAAATAAACATTTTTCCCTGGAAAGTATTTTTAAACAAGTGAGTCAATACATTCTAGACAGAGGAATTACAACTATGACTCAGGGCTATGGAAAAAGTTTCCCACAATAAATTACGATGATTAGTGCTGGTAGACAAAGTGCTTCAGCTCCTGCAGCAAAGTCTTCCCTGCTCCTTTCATTAATCAGACTGCTTACCTGGCTTTATCATTAGTACTAGGCCTTTCAATGTGATGCCTGAACCAATTAATACATAATTTAAATCAGAAGCATGTTTAAAATTCTCTCAGAGTATCCTATAGTGACTAGGGTGAAAGAACTCAAGTATGTAATCCTGCATTAATTCCATAAGTTTGTTTGTAAAAGTAATTGATTATCACTGGCAGCAATAAGTTTTTTGAAGCAAAAGCTACCTTTTTTCCTTTTCAATGTCCCTTTTTACATGCGAGATAGTATTATCCACAGAGTTGAATGATCGATAGCCATGGGATGAAAAATATCTTTCTAAACCTACATCAACACGGCCTGAAAGATTTTTCTTGAGTTTTTCTATCATATCAACCTCTCAATATTGGTATTAACAAAGGATAAAACTTACGAAGATCCTGAAATGTACTAGATAATAAGTTAAACTAGGTAAACCACTGCTAGCTCCTTATTCACTGATTTCATGAATGGACAAGAGAATGACAAAGACCCACTCATCATTTTCCCACATGACCTGCAGGTGCATATGTCCCCAAGACATCTATATAGACTCCAATGACAATCTACTTGCCAGGAATGAAAGTGAAAATAAAGGACTTTGCTTGAAAGGTGTCAGGCACTGTCAACTGCTGATAATAGCCTTTGATCATCCTTATTTCAATTCTCATTGTAGCCAAATTGCCACTAATAGTGATTTAGATCCCTACTGCCATGTTAAAATGATTGTCCCAAACTATTAGTTCATAAACTTGAGTATCTGTGACAATCTTCCCTTGGATTTACCCTGCTCAAAAAAATAATTTTAGGCATTACTTTTAACCCAAGAGACATACACACCCCTAGCCCCAGTACTCTTTCTCTCTCTCTCTCTCTCTCTCTCTCTCTCTCTCACACACACACACACACACTCTCTCTCTCTCTTCTTTTTTGTGAAGAACCTTTATTTTTTTCACTTTCTAGTGACAGTGTGTCTTAGGAGAGCCTGGACTCCTTTGCTCCTTTGCAGGCTTGGGAGGTGATCATAACAGGTAGTGAGGAGATAAAGCTGAACTAGTCTAATCATAATCAATCATGATCATTCCATTCCCCTTCCTAGTGACTGAGTTTTAGATGGTCATCTGATACAATTAGGGCAAAAGCAACATTAAGGGGGAATGCACAGGGGAGTTCTGGGGACATTTTTCCTTACTTCCATAGCTGGATATATTCCAGAAAATGATTCTTCTTTCTGCCTTTGAGTTTGTAGTGATGCTAGGAGATGCTGCAGCCATCTTAAAGCAATGAGGATCAAGTCAGAGGGTAAGTACCAATACACTGAGGATGGCAGAAAGATGGAAAAATCTGGATTCTTGATGACATTGACCAGTTCAGTTATTTGATCTTGGAACCACTTTACCTCAGGGCTTCTGCTTATGTGAGATAATATATAATAAATTATTTGAGCCCATTTTGTTATAACAAATTTATATGCAGTTAAAAGCAGCTTATCTGATACCACAACCAGGGTTGTTTTCTCAATACCTTCCAAAGACACCATTTTTCCAGAGCAAAGGGACCTATATAAATGTAAAAAAAATAAAGTACAAATTGAATCAAATAATCAGAACAATCTCATATGCTTACTTTTTTGCTAAATATAACTCTACTTGTCCTTGTAATTTTATGTGAAGACATAAGAATTCTCTCAAGAATATACACAGTAAGCAACTATTTGCAGCACACAGTACAACATGGAGATTAAGGCCCTGGACTCAAGCAAACAGAAATTTAGTCCTTGATCTGCCTCTTCCTAGCTATGTAACTTAGGCAAACAATATAATCTTCCTCACCTTCACTTTCTTTATCAGTACAGTACTGAAAATGATAGTACTTAAGTCTCTGGGTTAATATTGTCATGATGAGCAAATCATGTACCTAGCTTAGCACTTAGCATATAATCATGATTCAGTAAATATTGGCTACAAAAATAGTACAATATATGAACACACCAATATTACAAAGAAATAAGAGTTTAGATATTCAACATATTAAAAACATCAACCTACAAAGCACAGCTACATATTTTTGTGTTGCTAATGTTATTAAGAAATCAAAAAGTCAAAGCAACTGCAGGAGGACTTAGAAAGAAGTCTAAGTCTCAGTTTTCCTTTCAAAAGAGCAAGGTCAGATTCAATTAAATGAGAATTATTCAGGTAACACTATGCTAGCTTTATTTATAGGTAATATTCTTATCTTGCTCTGTTTTGTGTTGCTATAACGGAACAACACAGACTGGGTAATTTAAAAGATAAATAAATTTATTTCCCACAATTGTGGATGATGGGAAGTTCAATATTAAGGTGCCAGCATCTTGTGAGATGATCTTCTACCTCATCCCATGGCAGAAAGCAGAAGGGAAAAAGAATGCAAGAGAGGGCTGGGAAGGGGGCCAAACCCATCCTTTTATCAGGAACCCACTCCCACAACGACGAGCCCATTCCTCTGCGGTATTAATTCTCTAATAAGAAGTCTTATTCGGTCCCACTCCCCAATACATTTGCATTGAGAATTAAATTTCCAACACATAAACTTTGGCAGACACACTCAAACCATAGAATTCCACCCCAGCTCCCCAAATTTATGTCCTTCTAACAATGCAAAATACCCTCATACTATCCCAAGAGTCCCAAAAGTCTTGTCTCACTCCAGCATCGACTCAAAAATTCAAAGTCCAGAGTGCCATCTAAATCAGATATGGGTGAGACTCAAGGCACAATTCATCCTGAGGCAACTCTCTCTCTAGCTGTGAGCCTGTGAAGTTAGCAAATTACATACTTCCAAAAAACAATGATAGAACGGGTTTAGAATAAATATTCTCATTCCAAAATGGAGGAATAAGCAGGAAGAAATAAATAACTCGTCCCAAGTAAGTCCAAAACCCAACTGGGAGAACAACATTAAGTTTGAAAGCTCCAGAATAATCTCCTTTCACTCAGTGCTCCACATCCTGGGCACACTGGTGTAGGGGTTAGACTACCAAAGCCTCAGGCAGCCCTGCTCCTATGGCTTTGCTAGGTTCAATCCACTCAGCAGCTCTTCTGAGTTGGAGTCACACTTTTTTATTCTTCATAAGGTCAGACTGAAAGTTTTCCAAATCTTGCCATTCTGTTTCCATTTTAACTATAGATTCTGTCTTTAAATTATGTCTGTCTTCTTGCATCTTACTATAAGCAGTTAAAAGTAGCCACATAGCTCTGCCAATATTTTGCTTTGAAATGTTCTGCCACCAGATATCCTAGTTCATTGCTCTTAAGTTCTGCCTTCCATAAAGTCCTCAGGCATGAATACAATTCAGCCAAGTTCTTCACCACTTTGTTCAAGGATGACCTTTCCTCCAGTTTTCAATGCCTTCTTGTTCCACATTTCAATCTAAGACCTCATCAGAATGGCCTTTACTGTCCATATTTCTACAAAGATTCTGACCACAACCACTTAAATCATTCCTAAGACAGGCTTTCCTTGTAGCTCTTATCTTCTGAGCCTTCACCAGAATTGATGTGCTCTGTTCACAGCATTCTAGGCTTTTTCCAGCCTGCTCCTCTGAATTCTTCCAGCCTCTATTTACTACCCAGTCCCAAAGCTGCTTCCACATTTTCAGGTATTTATAATGGCAACAGTCCCATCTCTTGGTAGTCAATTTTCTGTCTTAGTCTGCTTTGTGTTGCTATTACAGAACAACACAGACTGGGTAACTTTAAAAGAAAACTAATTTATTCCTCACAGTCAGTCCTGGAGGCTGGGAAGTCCAATATCAAGGTGCCAGCATCTTGTGAGAGCCTTCTTACTACAATACACCATGGCAGAATAAGCAGAAAGAAATGAACAACTGGTCCCAAGTTATTCTGTGTCAAAGGGGATGAAAGTGTAACAGAGAGTGGGGAAGGGGGCCAAAAAAGTCATTTTAGCAGGGACTCACTCCCAAGGTAACCAACCCACTTCTGGAATAACAGCATTAATCCTCTAATAAGAGGTAGCCTAATAACCTCTTATTAAGCCCCACCTCCCAACACTTGCTTTGGCGATTAAGTTTCCAACACATGCACTTTGGATGATACACTCAAACCATAGCAGCACTTCCTCATTTTTTAAAAATAGGATTGAATCTAAAACCCATTGGGTAAAACATAACACAGTACATGAAAAATATAATGCATACTCTGCAACTTTATTTAAACCATGAACCAAAGCAGTTGAGTATAAGAAATACTCAAACAGGTTCAAATGAGGGCTCTCCTTTTAACTCTAGAAGTAATCTCTGGCTGCCTCTTAGAAACAGAGATGAAAATCATTTTGAATTCAAATTAGAGAAATAGAATTCAAAACAGAGAAATAAAAGAAATACATATCTAATAATCACTGCTGTATACTTGCCAAAACCTACTAAACTGTAGAGACAGAGAAAAATAGTATTCAATTGTTAAGGATTCTGGACAATGATTATGGATTGTTGACAATAAATACATATGTGTAAGGAAGTAAATGCAATAAACAGATTCTTAAATTAGAATCTGATGTAGACATATATTGTTAGCAATAATTATTTATATTTTTAAATGTTTTGTTCCAATACTTCAAATCATTCAACAAATATGTATTCAATACCTATCAGATATCAGACCATATAGTTTCCAGACACTACAGATGAATAAAGCATGACCCTACCTCAAGGAAATCACAGTCCACTTAGGGGGACAGATATGTGCTATAATATGGATATGCTCCCAGTATTATAGATGTTTATGGCAATGAAATTTGAAGATTTAAGTGTATGTCTAGTTTACCAATAATGACACCAAAATAATTGCTCTAGGTAATGATTGTATCTACAAACAGATATGTAAACAAACATTAATAGATGTACTAGGTAATTAGTTCCTGGACCATTAACTAGCACCTGAGACCTGTGTGTGGGTCTTCCTTACTGAACCCCTGAAGCCAGTTTCATGCATCTCTTTAACACTTGCAGTGCCTGGTTTGATGCCGTACTTAACACCGGGCACTCGATGTCCCTTGACTGAATTTGGTATAACATTCTGAAAGCCCATTTGTTTCTTTATTGAGGCAGTGTTACATGGACATGCCCTGTTTAAACAAATGCCCTGCCATCTATATATCCTGCCTATTATGTAACGCCCCTGTCATGTAAACTCATTGCTCTCGAGTTCCTTCATTTTTCAAACAGAATGGCTCTACTGACCTCCCAGGGTGGTAATGAATATGAAGATGGCATATGAATTTTCTGGCAAGCAGTTGGCACTCAATAAATGTTATTGCCTTTTTCCTTGTCTTCATCCTCTCCCCTCCCAATTCTATAAGCAAATATGACCAAAAATTTGCTTCAATTAATATATACAAGGGACAATTAACAATAACTAAGTACTTTTGAGCCTGCTTAGGTTACTGTTAATATTTTCATATCAAACATATTAAAGGTAGGTAGAATTATTTTACATCCTATATTTACTTTATTAAATTATGGATTATAAATTAGAAATAAAGCAAAACTATTTTGTCGAAGGAAATTATTGCACATGCAAATAGGACTAACATTTCTGTTGCTAGAATAAATATCTTTTTATAGGGCTTAAGCTGATTTTTTTATAGCCTGGAACCTAAGAATGAATATTAATTACAGAAAATCTTATTAAAGAACTGACATGCCTCTGTGCCTGAAGAATTCTAAGTTTGAAGCCATTTTACCCCAGTCATAGTAAATAGATGCAGGCTGAATGCACCCAATCTCTGATCTCAGAAGCTAAGCAGGGTCAGCCAGATGGAAAATAGATGTGGGCTGAGGGTCTAAAAGAAATATGTGTGCCTATGCCTGGCAAGCTGCACCCTTTTGGGTCCATTTCAGTTGCCAGTGTTTGGACTTGTGATACCTGCTCCATGAAGCTGCCCCCAAATTCCCAGGGAGAGTTAGGCATAATAATAGGAATGACTTCATAGAGGAAACACACACATATTGGATAAGTGTTCTCGGCCACTAGGCTTAGACATCTATGAACACTTTCTCACGTAATTCTCACAATGAACTTATGAAGTTTGCACTATTGCCTGATTTACACAATAGAAAACTGAGGCTCTGAGGTTACTTTCTCAAGGTTACAAACCCAAGTCTATTGGATGGCAAAGACTATTGTATTATTCAGGGTTCTTCCAAGAAACAGAACCAGCAGGATATATACAGATATATAAGAGGAGATTTACTTCAGGAACTGACTCACTTGATTATGGAAGCCAAGAAGTCCCATGATCTGCCATCTGCAAGTTGGAAAACCAAGAAAACTGGTGGAATAATTCAGTTTGAGACCAAAGGTCTGAGGACGGGGAGAATTTGCCCTTTCTGCACCTTTTTGCTCTATCCAGCCCCTCAATAGACTGGATGATGCTGCATTGAGGAGGGTGATCTACCCATTCAAATAGAGTGATTATGGAAGCCAAGAAGTCCCATGATCTTAACTCACTTGATTATGATCTCCGTCTACTCATTCGAATAGATGACTAGTTGCTCTAAATATGAATCTCTCCCAGAAACACCCTCACAGACACACCCAGATATAATGTTTTACCAGCTATCCGGGCATCTCCTAACATATTAGTTGACACATACAATTCATTACCACAGCTTTGTTTCTAACCAAATATCATTTTGTCCCCTTGTTTACCTTCTGGGGTTTTTTAGAACAATGCCCTTAAGAGAGCCTGTCACCAACTGCTGATTACCCATATGCCTGGAGTAACAGGGTTTGTGCCTCAATGTAGTCTGGCTACCCACATTGCTTAAGCCCATTGACACTTTTTGTGGCAAGATTTTCAAGACAGAGGAAGCAGTGCATTGATTTGCTTTCTGGTGCATGTTCCTTATTGCCTGAGACCATTTTGACTAGTTGCTCTAAAATTTTGCCCTGTGTGCCTGCCTTCCTTGCTGCCTTCCTTAACTTCTCTGTTTGTTTGCCTCTGAAGTTGGACTACGGACTCCTTGTGAGCAGCGATTTGAGCTGACTTTGTTCTGCTGGAGCCATTACCATTTAATTAAAAATGACATGTGAGGTGAAACCTACTTACCATCCCTGTGCTTCAGGGTTTTCTGGGGGCACCTTCAGGGCACCTCTAGACTGTTGTCCAAACAGCAGGTAGGGAATGAGGACAACTGGATTAACAGACATCTTGGAGAGTCCCACAGTAATGGCATCAAGGGTCCTTGTCAGGTTGCCCCAAGGAAAATGCTAAAAATTAAAAACTGTTGCTTCTGGATTCCACTGAAAGTCACATGTAGCAGCTCACAATGAACTAAATACTTAACTGGGTAATATTGAGTCCTACATACACCTTCCCTGAAGTCTTTGGGGGAAAAGCATCAAGTCAGCTAGGGAGGGACTTTTTAAACCAAAGCTGATAATGTTTTCTTAGCCAACCAACTAATTGCCTAGTTTTTTTACAATAGCCTTGTGTAGTGGGGGGCAGGGCAGGTTGGGAAGAAAGGGAGTAGGCAGCAAAATACCTCCACTGTCTTAATAGTTGAATTTCAACCTGCACCTCACTCTGCATACTGATACACTCTGCACACTAATACACTCTGCTGCCCTCTGAGAGGATTCTAGGACCACATAGTTCATTTTAATTTAAAAAATAGGTTTTGCTTGCCTTCCTTTGACTGGGAACTCTGCTAGGAACTGAGAAATAAAGGATAATTATGTGTGGATCCTGCAGTTTGGAATATTGCAGCTTAATGGATGAACAGGTCATTTTAACACAATATGTTAACTGGTGTGAGAAATGCATGCTGAGAGTGGGGGGACATGCTGCCTAAGCGGAGTTCTGCAGAATAGATGAGAGTAAGTCACACAAAGAAGAGGAAAAGAGAATGCTAGAAAGAGGGAACAGCATGAGCAAAGGCACAAGGTCAGCAAAGTGTACGTGTAGTTAAGAAAACCGGGCATTTCCTATCAACAGAATGAAAGATGGGAGATGGCATAACATGGGACTTGAGGGGTAGGCAGAAGGAAAGATAGACGGGCTCTGTCACCCTGAGGAGGTGAGGCTTAACTTCATCCTGTGGTTGAAGACCAGCCTTTAGGATACACTGGAGCGAGAGAGGAGCCAGATCATATTTGCATTTTCAATAGGCCATTCCAGCAACCAGGAGACCATTAGGAGGCTGCAATCACAGAAACAGATGATAAGCAGAAATTGAGGATGAACAGAGGAATATTTAGGAGAACCTGGGAGGATCTAGTGGCTGACTGAAGGAGAGTTGAGCAAGATAGTAGTATCCATATGGGCCATAGTTGTGTCATTGACTTTGAACAGAACACTGGGCCAAGGGAAGGAAGTCTGGTTGTAGAGCAGGCTTGGCCAAGAGCAGGGAAGCCCATGAGTGCTGTTTTGAACATATTAGTTAAAGGCATATGCAGGAAAATGTCCACCTGGCAGATTTATATATGATACTGAAACTTAAGACAGGAGAAATAGCTTTGAGCATAATTGGCATATAGACCAGAGCCTGCCGGATATGGGCCAAATCTGGGCTGAAGATACGTTTTGATTGCCCTCTTAAGCACTGACTCATGCAATGTACAAAAAGATTTTTAAATCCATTTTATATTGCCAATGTGTAAAGTGTGAAATATTTTCTATAAAAACCCAAATTTATGATCCCTCTTGAAAAACTGGGAGATCTGGCAACATTAAGCCCACATTCCCTTGTGGTATCAATTGTGAAAGCAAGCAGCCACTGTCCTCCTTCCATCGCAGCTTGGCCCTGACTATGGTTCATCCTCTGCTGGGATCAGAATCAGCTGCTGCTTATCATCATCAGGTTAAAAGTAAAATATGTAGTGAATTTTATTACTGTAAAACATTAGAATTAATACATTATCTCCCTAGTTCCTGAAGCAGTAGATTTGTAATTTTTATTTCAGGCCTTGGCTTAAGAAAATAAATGCTTAGAAATGCACTCAGTTTTTTAAAAGAACAAACACTACCAGTCTGTCCATTGCCTATGTTAGTATCTGTAAGTTACCAGGTACTGTTCTTAAAAAGAAGAGTGTGTCCGCATGTTCTCACTCATAGGTGGGAATTGAACAATGAGAACACACGGACACAGGAAGGGGAACATCACACTCTGGGGACTGTTGTGGGGTCGGGGGAGGGGGGAGAGATAGCATTAGGAGATATACCTAATGCTAAATGACGAGTTAATGGGTGCAGCACACCAGCATGGCACATGTATACATATGTAACAAACCTGCACGTTGTGCACATGTACCCTAAAACTTAAAGTATAATAATAATAAAATAAAATAAATAAATAAAAGAATGAGAATGAACATGCCATGAAGAATTAAAGGAAATTAAAAACAAAACAAAACAACAAAAAAAAGAAAATACAGTTTTTAAAATTGAAAAGCAATATTTTCAATAAACATATAATAAATATTTTTTTAAAAATATCTATTAAAATATCAAATTCAGAGAAAAAAAAAAGAAGAGTGTGTGTTTGGGGATGGGCAAGCATAAATAATTTCCTGAACTTGTGCATAGTTGGAACTTAATAAAATCTGTCAAGGCCTTTCATTCATATATATTTACCATTTACATCAAACTATTTGGGAATGAATATAATTATACAGATCAGACATTTTGGTCAAGTCATTCAAATTCAAGTAATAAAACTTCATCCTACAGAATATAACAACACATAAACAGCAACAAAAAGCCCCACAACATGAGCTAGTGATTGATAACAATGGCAAAATATTTAGAATACCTGATGTTCAGTGTTGTCTTTCTGTTTCACCTTGGGAAAACAGAAATATAAATGTAATTTGCTGAAATTTATTTTTATATATAACTAGGGAAATAATCTCGTAGCTAGAGTCCAACTGTGTACCATTAGATTTCATTATCTACTACTTGAGACAAAAGAAAATCTAGATACATTAAAACCTATGTTGTTGTTGTTGTTTAAAAAAAAAAAAAAAGCCTTTAGTTAAGCTGACCATTTTGTGTTTCACTTTCATTACTTTCTCTTTACTCCATCCCCAAAGAAGTATAAATAGCTTATGAAGGGATTGAAAGACAATCCTCAGGATGGAAAGGAAAGGGACAGATACTCTGCCATCCCATTCTCTGGCTGCCTAAAATTGCAGTTTCCAAATCTGATGGTGGCAAAATGGCTCAAATCATTCTCATGGAAAAACCAGGATTCCTGTTATGGTTCAATTTTAAACAAGGGTTTTCTTTATTCAATGGAATCACCCTGGCATGTTTTGACCTTTCTTTTTCCCTTTATATTAATACAGTATAGTTATTTCTAACACTTTTCCATAGTTGTCAGCAAAAGAAGTAATGTACAGTATTTGCAAAACTTTCCAAAGATAAGTTTGCGGTATTTCATTTACACATTTAACTTTTTCCCAAAAATAAAGAAAATCTAATGATAATTTTGTCACTTGCCATGTTTGGGATGAAGTTTTTGAAAGAAAATAGAATATAATTTAGAAATATAATGAATACATATATACGTGATTTATACAATATTTCCTGAATCCTCTCCAAGAAATTCCTAGAAGATTTCCAGGTCATACCTAGTATCCATAGTCACATCAGAAATGCTGGACAAAGTCTCTTGCATATTGTTCAACTGAGATGTCTAATTAATAGAAAGTATAATAAAGTGCACACATCAAGAGTAAGAGAACAAATCATATAGAAAGGTTCATAAATAATGAAACAGCATAGCCCGCAAGTTCATTCAACTCACCTGCAAATGCCCATGCTTTTACTCCTCCCTTCACATAACGTTCATAGGGTACAAGCTGTCCTTGCCTCCAAGATCAACCCCTAACCTTTTCCAATCACACCATTTTGTCCTGCTCTTCACCCCCAAAGGCTTCTGGTTGCTTTGGGATTGGTTCGCTTCTGCTTTCTAGGAAACCACCAGCCCCATTATAGATGCCGATGGTTGAGTCTCCTCCCCTCCTGAGATAAATGACTCACCAAAGGATTGGCAAGATCTGGTTAAGGGCCCTAATCTCTCCTAAAGTCACTTGCCTTGTTATACCTCCCCACACGTTTTTTTTTACTGTCCTGTCTGAAATTTTTTTCTGTCCTCACATGAATGTCCTCTGTATTCCTCTGCCTTCCAAATTGGATAGTCAATACAGCATATCACTCTTTCATAATTTATTGCACATAGAATACAGTGGGAGACCATTTCAGGAAATAATAAACAGAAAATGATAAACATCTTTGTTAATAAACAAAGATTCCAAAACATATTTGACATCCTAGGTACTTCCTTCACTATCAAGTTAATCATGAAAAAAAAAACTCAGATCTTCTGAAATCAATGATAGCTTGAATACCCTTGCCTGAAGTCTCAGAACATTGATTTCCACATACACTATTAACTTCAGTTAGACTAACCCGTGACTTTTTGAAAAATCATTAATCCCAAATCTTTATTAGCTCCATCACCTTCATTCTTGCTTCAGTTTTTTGTGCACAGAAGGAAACACTTGTAATGACATTTAACAGAGATGCTGTAAGCCACACATGTCACTGCAGATAGGCTAATGACAATGAGAAGACAACAGCCATGCACTTATGAATCAGCCTTTGGTAGGGGTTGTCCAAAGAAGGAAGGACCCTATCACAATATAAGAAGTGGATGTTGTGATTCACCTGGAATTCTTCTTAACAAAATAACTTCCTATTCACATACTACTCTCTACTTTTCTATGAGAAGGAATAATAAAATATAAATCATATTATACAGTTACTTGTACTAATAAAGCTAAAAGGCACCTAAAACATTTTAAAACACTTTGGAGCACTTATTCTGTTGTGCCTTTCCTTCTAAAACATATTGGCAACTGTGATGCTAGCAATCTTGTCTTTCAAATCCATAATTATAAGGAAGAAAATGACTTAAAACATAAATTGTCACTGCATTAGCCATCATATTTACATGTCTTTGCAATCCAGTAATTGCCATAAAAGCCTATCTTATTTTTAAAACCAAAATGTAAAATAATCAAGTTGCTGTTTTTAACTCTCTTGAATGAGCAGATTTATTATACAGCAAAAGTTTTAATAAATAAAAAAAAATAAATCCAGTCTGTACCATTCAGTCTTGAATGACAGCCTGTTAACAAGGCAAGGAAAGAACAGGTGAGTGTTTCATTTAAAGATTTCTGTAACTGAAATGAGCATCACGCCAACCAGATTGGGCAGCCACAAGAAACTGTATCTGAGAAAACAATCCAAAGCTGCCCGGGTGTGATACAACTGCCCTGACTTATTTTGAGAAGGAAAAACTCCTGCTGTATTTTTCCTTAACTCAAAAATTAATCCCTTCCTTTGAAAAAAAAAACTTATTTATAAATGAGGACAGGCAGCTTTAACTGTGACAATAACTATTCTAACTCACCACAAATTCAACGGAAGCCTGCTTTTTTCACCTTAAATTCCATGGATTTTATTATCCCCTTTCTGGCTATCTTTGAAATAAGAGAAAAGGAGACACAATAAAACACATTCTCTCATAAATTCTAAAATTCATTCCCTGACTTGGGACTGAATACTGGCTTGCAGAATTTTGCCTGGCCAAGCCAGGACATGGGAATACCATGTGGACAGGTGAACTCTTCTGCCTACTCACCTGGCTCTGCCCTGAGACATGATGGAGAAGGGGCAAGATTATGTTCTCCTGAAATCCTTCACCAACATTTTCTTCCACTACTGAGTACATATTATATATATATATATATATATATATATATATATATATATATATATGGACCAAATAAACAATTTGAGACTTAATTGATATCAAAGAGAGTATTCAAAAGAAGATCATACAAAATAAAGGAAAAATGCAACTCTTTTTGTGAGGCCATTACTGCCGTGAATAATTCTAGCATAATAAATGCCTATCTAGCACTCTGTCTTGATCATTTACCTCCCTGTAATTAAATCATTTAAATAAACATTGTCTCCGACATAATTTTTTAAACTTTGATTCAAAGAGCAATGCATTTGACAGCTCTTAACCTTCATATGCCACCAAGATACCTCCTGTTTACTTATTTTTGTTACTGTGATTATACTGCTACTCTGTAGGAAAATGTCACCCTCCATTGTATTAGCACAGTAATAACCTTTTCTTGCATTCCAAGTGAAGGTAAGTAGCAATAAATAATGTCAACTTTAATTTTCTGGTACTTTACACTAAATCACAGAGAAACCAAGTGTAAAATGCTTTGCCCCACTTTCTTCCAGCATAGAAATTTTGAGAGTTAGTGCAAACTTAACAAACTGTCAAACATCTAACCCTCCAATTACAGAAATAGAAACTGAGGCACAAAAAGAGCAAATGACTTATCCTAGATCACTCACATCATTAGTGGAGAAGCAGGCATGGACTCTTGGACTCTGACTCCAAGCTGCTAGGGTAGTGCCTTTTACTTCCAATCACCCTTATTTACTTATTTATTTATTTTTGGAAACTACCGAAAGCTTTAATTTATTTATTCAAAGTAACCATACTATTGATGAAAAAATGAAGATGAAAACCAACAGTTACCCCAATACTATTTCAAAACAAACATAAAAATTAGAATGTGGTCATTTCTTCACACAAATAAGTCCAAAACCAAGACCCACATTATTATATATATAATACAACCTAACATCTAGCCAAAAGACTAGGAAAAGGAAGCCAAGAAAGACAGGAAACTTTTAGACAATAATAGCCCTACTCCAACCAAAAAGCATGGAAAAAACTGCAACCCCACTTATAGCCCTGTCAGCAAAGACCAACTGGGAAGCCTAGCCTTCCGCCTTTGCCAGGCTATAGTGAGGTGATCAACATCCCTACAAGGTGGTGTCAGAGAAGGCTGAATAGGGAACCAGAACTTCCATTCTCATTTGGCAGTAACAAGGTCCCTCCCCCATGGTTTCATAGGAGGCCACATGGAGAACCTGAACTTCCACCCCACCAGGTGACAGGGAGGTGACCCTCCAACAGTAATGAGGCCCAACCCCACTGTCCCAGTGGAGGCCAAGTAGAGAGAAGTAATGAGGTGCCCCTTCTCCTCCCAGCTAGGGTGATGGCAATGGTGGCCTAGTATGGAGCCTGAACCACTATACCCAGCTGGCATTAATGGGGACACCTTAATCAGTCCCCCCCATTGACAGGGTGTCAAGGAAAACCAAGCGGGTTTTCCACCTCACCTCTGATGGCCTGATATCAGAGAAAACCTTCTAAAACACAAGATTTGAGTAAGATCCAATGTCTCAAAATGTAATACCCAGAATGTCCAGGATACAAACAAAAATTACTCATCATACCAAGAACCAGGAAAATCTCAACTTGAATAAGAAAAGTTAATCAACAGATGTCAACACTGACATGGCATAGATGTTGGAATTATTTGACAAGGATTTTAAAGTTGCCATCATAAAAATGTTTCAATAAGCAATCACAAACACATTTAAAACAAATGAGAAAAGCAAAACTCTCAGCAAAGAAATAGAAATTCTCAACAGAGAAATAGAATAAAGAAAGAAGCAAAAGAACAAAGCTGAAGGCATCACACTACCTGATTTCAAAATCTACACAAAGTTATAGTAATCTTGGCTGGGCGCAGTGGCTCACACCTGTAATCCCACCACTTTGGGAGGCTGAGGCAAGTGGATCACCTGAGTTCAGGAGTTCGATACCAGCCTGACCAATATGGTGAAACCTCATCTCTACTAAAAATACAAAAATTAGCCAGGCATGGTGGCATGCGCCTGTAGTTTCAGTTACTTGGGAGGTTCAAGGAAAATTGCTTGAACCAGGGAGATGGAGGAGGTTGCAGTAAGCCGAGATCGCACCGCTGAACTCCAGCCTGGGTGACAGAGCGAGACTCCATCTCAAAAAAAAAAAAAAAAAAAATATATATATATATATATATATATATATATATATGGTAACCAAAACAGCCTGTTACTGGCATAAAAAACACATAGACCAATGGGACCAAACAAAGAGCCCAGAATAACTCCACTCATTTACAGTCAATTGATTTTTGACAAAGGTGCCAAGAACACACAAAGGAGGGAAGAACAGTATCTTCAGTAAATGGTATGGGAACAACTGAATTTTCATATGAAGAAGAATATAATTAGAACCTTATCTCACACTACATACAAAAATCAACTCAAATGGATTAAATACCTAAGTGTAAGACCTAACACTGTAAAACCACTAGAAGAGAACGCAGGAGAAAAGCTTTGTGAAATTGGCCTAAGCAATGATTTTTTTGGATATAACCTAAAAGCACAGGCAACAAAAGCAAAAACTGATCAATGGAATTGCATCAAAGTAAAAAGCTTCTGCACAGCAAAGGAAACAACCAACAGAGTGAAGAGACAACCCATGGAATGAGAGAAAATATTTACAAACCACACATCTGATAAGGAGCTTAATTTCCAAAATCTATGAAGAATTCAAACCACTAAATAACAAGAAAACAATCCAATTTAAAAATGGGCAATGGACTTGAATAGACATTTCTCAAAAGAAAACATACAAATGACCAACAGGTATATGAAAAATTACTCAGCATAAGTAATCATCAGAGAAATGCAAATCAAACCATAATGAGATATCACCTCACACCCATTTGAATGGCTATTATCAAAAAGACAAAAGATATGTACTTGCAAGAATGTGGAGAAAAGGGAACGCTTGTACCCTGTTGGTGGGAATGTATATTAGTACACTGATTATAAAAAAAAAGTAGAGGTTTCTTAAAAAATTAAAAATAGAACTACCATATGATCCAGCAAATCCACTGCTGGATATATAGCCAAAGGAAATGAAATCAGTAGTCAAAGAGATAGCTGTACTCCCATATTCATTGAAGCTCTATTCACAATAGCTGAGGCATGGAATCGACCTACCTGTTCACCAATAGATGAATGGATAAGAAAATGTGGTACATATACACAACAGAATACTATTCAATCTTTAAAAAGAAGGAAATTCTGACATTTGCAACAGCATGAATAAAACTGTAATACATTATGCTAAGTGAAATAAGCCAGGCATAGAAAGACAATTACCGCATCATCTCACTTATACATGGACCTAAAAATGTGGAACTCAGAGAAACAGAGAGTACAATGGTTGTTACCAGAGGCAGGAGGGTGGAGATATTGGGAGCTATTGGTCAAAGAATACAAAATTTCAGTTAGACAGGAGGAATAAAATCAAGAAATGTATTGTAAAACATGGTAGTACAGCTAATAACCATGTATATACTTGAAAATTGCTAAGAGAGTAGATTTGAGGTGTTCTCAAATAAATGATAAGCTTGTGAGGTAATGCATATGTTAATTACCTTGATTTAGTCATTCCACAATGTATACATATTTCAAAACATCATGTTACATACCATGAATACATACATGATTAAGTTAAAAAAAGAACCAAATAAAAATTTTAGAACTGAAAAATACAGTAACCAAAATTGTTAAAAAAAAAAAACCCAAGGCATGGGCTCAACAGCAGAATGGAGAGGAAAGAAGAAAGAATCAATAATCCTGGGGATGGGACCATGGAAATCACCCAGTCTGAGCAACAAAGAAAAAAATAGATGGAAAAAAATGAGAACAGCCTCAGAAAACTGTGAGAATATAATAACAATCTAGCTTTCAAGTCACTGAAGTTTCAGAATGAGAGAGAACGAGCTCCCTCTGCTCATGTTTCTTACATCCCTGGTCACTGTGTGCAGTGGTTGCCTCCTCACCTTTTTCTTCACTAGACTCAGCACTAGGAGGGCACACATGATGTTTTCCATCTCTGCATTCCCAGTTCCCAATACAGTGCCGTGCACATGATGAGCAATCAATCCATGTTAAGTGCATGTATGGATTCGTTTCTGTACTTTCCTAGGTATTATGTACAACATCAAATTTTGGAAATTTTAGTTTATTTCATATTTGCTAGAGAATATCAGAGTGGCAAATTCTTTTGAAAATCTACCCATCATCAAATAAATTATAAAAAGTACAGAAATAATTTTGCTCACAAGGGAAATCTTCCACCTGAATCCAACTCAACATTGAGAATGATATTTTCAAATGAATATTTCTGTTGCAGGGCACTGAGGGTCTTCTGGACTTTTTAATATACAATGATGTCATTAAAGCAGAGTACAAGGTTATGAACGCATTTTAAGAAGAAATGGGCTCTTTATTCAATTTCTCATTTAGATTGTGGTAATAAAAGTCAATTCACATTCTGAATTTTTAGAAGCACATTGGAAAAATCTATGAAGTAACTTCATGTTTTATGGATTCAGGAAACTATAGTTCAAAGATATATCATTTATTATCTTTACTTTGATGCACTTGCTTTATTGGCACCTAGATCAAAGAATACTAAAAATTTCAGAACAGAACTGGGTTCAGTATGAGATGTTTTGAGGAGAAATGTCAAGTAAGTTCCATCAACTTGTTCCTATTATATTTTGGAAGGGGTCCATGTTAAGATTTGAGTGTCACCAAGAGAAGACCTGATGACCCGTCCCCTAAGACAGCCCAGGAGCCTTAGCAAATTTACTGTGATCTGACCTAACTGTATCAGAGATATAGAACTGATGGGATTCACCCAGATGACTTATGCTTCTCAAACTCACAAATAAATGATATCAACTGTTGTTAAGTATTCAGAGGAGACATTTTTCCATTGACCAGAATATTCATGTCCTCCACTCATAACATACATAATGTCCTATTTTCTTTCCCCTTTTGCCCTGCTGATAGGGGTTGACCTCTATAGAGTTTATCAGTAGATCCCAGACTCTCTGAATTCTGGTTGAGGAGCCCCGGCAGGAGATCAAAGAAAAGGAGGAGATTGAGGTTAGGGTATTCATTCCCTTACTCCCTCCCCTTGAGGTTGCCTCTGTCTGGTTAGGACTCTTGACAAAGTCACTGCATCTCTCAAAGCAGCCCAAGCCCCAGGACTCTCTCCGTCCTTCTAGATTCTCATAAACTCTTCCTCCCCTCTATCCTTCAAGCCTAGGGGTGGTGAAAATTTCATCACTAACACAGGGTACCTGCACCATCGTTTGTCATTTCCTGATACCCTACTCACACCTTTATAATTAGTCTTTTTGAAAGACACCTCCTTGCATTATCCTGATTTGAGAGTATCATCTCTGTTCTGTTGGGACCCTGACTGAGAGACACCACAAAAGGAGGTGGCTAATCCCAAAAGGCACAAGTCATTGTAAGTCCTCAGTAATTATCACAGTTCCACAAAAGAGCACCTCTCTCCTTTCTTGTAAGTGTGTCCACCCCATTCTGCATCTCTCTGTCTCTGGTTCTCTTCTCTCTGTCTCTGCATCTCTCTGTCTCTGTTCTGTTTACAGAACAGGCACTGCCAACTTCTGGCTCTTGGGATCTCCTTTTTCTATGAGCTTTGCTGACTTTCTGCCCCTAACCTGGATTTGTTCACAGTGTCTTCCTCCAGAAAGGATACAATATAGGTGATTACTTTTCTCATGCTGAATTATAATCAGTTTTTCCCAGGCTTGCCTCTCTGACATTTCACGTGTTATTATATGGAATATGAGATGTTTCTAAACTCTTCAGTCAAATATTGAAACCTCTTGGTTTATCATCAAAGGCAACTGCGATGTTGTGAAATATATGTATTTGGTCTTTGACTCCATTTCCTGGCATACAAATTCTAAAATCCTTAGAATCTCCAAAGTGATATCTTTTTGTGTGCTAATGATTGATTAATGGCTGACAGCTCCTCAGTGACTTGAGGACAGAGCTGGTTACCTGAAAGACCAAGGCCTAAATAAAGGGTTGGGATTTTCAGCCCCACTCACTAGCCTCCAGGGTGGGGAGAGGGGCTGATAGATAAGTTGATAGCCAATGGCCAATGGTTTAATCAATCATGTCTAGCTAAGGAAGCCTCTATAAATAGCCAAAAGGACTGTGTTCCGAGAGCTTCTGGGTGCTGAACACATGGAGGTTCCTAGAAGGTGGCACACCCAAGAGGGCATGGAAGCTCCATGCCTCTTCCCACATACCTCGTCCTATGCATCTTTTCATCTGTATCCTTTGTAATCTCCTTTATAATAAACCGGTAAACGTGTTTCCCTGAGGTCTGTGAACCACTCTAGCAAATTAATCAAACCCAAGGAGAGGGTTGTGGGAACTCCAATTCATAGCCGGTTGGTCAGAAACATAGGAAAAACAACCTGGGGATTGAAATGGGCATTGGATTGGGGGTCCATCTTGGGGACTGAGCCCTCAGCCTGTGGGATCTAACACTATCTTCGGGCGGATAGTGTCAGAATTAAATTGGAGAATGCCCAGCTGGTGTCTGCTGCAGAACTGATTGCTTGCTTACTAGTGGGGAGAAAACGCACATATTTTGGGATCACAGAAGTGTTCTTTGGTGATTATTCTTGCTGAGTGAGAGAATAGAAAAAGCACTCTGAGTTTGAGTGAGTTTTTTCTCCAGAGAAACTAATTGCTTTCATATTTTTTGTGGATTTTACTAGTTTAAAATTATGTTAATCTTATTTTCTTCATCTTAAAATTTAAAGGAAGAAAGATACCATTGCCTCATACAAATAAGAACCTAAAACATAAAAAAAAAAACCATATTCTAACTGAAGTCCAACAAAATAAATCTTTTCCTAATGGGGATTAAAGCCAAAAAGAATATTGACAATTAAGACAGCAAGATTAGAAAATCTTTCCTTTACAATTATGGCTGTTCACAAAACCAAAACGTCTAAGGTCTCCTGCCTAATTGGAAAAAGAATTCTACCTATGCCTGCAATTTCAGTAATTGTCACTCAGTGAATTACATCTGTCCACAAAAGCTTAGACTTGGTGTGTAGAGTTTCTTCAGGCACGTACAGAGGAAAGTGGGGATAAAATTTATAATTCATGTAGCTGAGTTTTTCCTACAAAGATATAATTCCTTAAGAAAGTGACACACATATTTCTAATTATAAGACATGTAATTTAGATCAAGAGCCAAATGAAATATCAAATTCTAACTACAAATCAAGAACCTATCCCTTTAATAAATTCTGCTTGCTTAACATTTGCTTTTCTTTATATAGTGAGAAGCACTACTACTTTTTTTCGCCCTGAGACTTTTCTGGGTCATAACTGTTTGAAACTTTTCCTTGCACAGCTTCACAGGAACCAGCCCCTTAATGTCTCCTGGTAAACCATGACCTCAGGAGGCTCCTCATTTTCCTTCAACCTTAAGTTTCTTCTAAAAATGCTGAGCCTTTTTCTAGTCTATCTCTTGAGCCTGCTTTCTCTTTAAAATGCGTAAGTGTGAGATCTAAACATTAACTGGCAATCTAGCAATTAGGTGGTCTAAATATGCAGAATTGGTCTTGTATATTTAGCCTGACTCGTTTATGCACCAATGCATAAGAATTTAATGCACAAGCAAAAATAGAAAGGTTTCTGTCCACAAGTCATTCTACAATAGTAGAAATATTTACCACTGCAACAAAATAGAATAGGTATTCCTTTTTTCTTTTTCCTTTTTTAGCCATAGCAAGATATTAGTAATATTTAGAGGGAAAAAATGATACCTACTGAAAAAAGCAGTTAAGTTATCATACAGTTTGTTAACATGAAGATTTATTTTTGCTTGAGGCAAAGTTAAGATTAAAGATATGATGTCACTAACACCACATAAGCTCATAAAACACTAAGCTATTACTATGACCTTAATATGGAATTTAGGATTCAAGACATCAATATTGCTTTATAATAGCCTCATATTTGTTTAAAAGTCAATTGTAGTTTCTCATAGTTCCATTTCCCATTTTCATCTAAACTACCTTGAACTTTGGTTGTACAAAAGTATTCCAAACAATTTTTGTATTTCTTTATTGTATACTTTAAAAATTCACAGAGTCCAAAGGTGAAAAACAATAAATTACTTAAAATATCAAGAAACATCCACCCCATTTTCTAGTGTGTTCAGTATCTTTTCAGTGAGAAAGGGACTGCTGTGTGTACTAATATTAGCCAATATGATAACAAGAAAATATTATGGAAAATTACTGGACAATTTTTTAATTACATTTTTTCTCAAAGTTTCCCATCTGCACATATTCAGCTATTTATCCAAAAATTCCAGCTCTGCTATGTCTTGTGCAACCTAAGGATAGTGTCTTAGCCACTCAGATTCTCAATTTCCCATCTGTAAAATGAGGCTGGTGACACTTCACACAATTTTTGTGAGGACTAAATAAGTGAAATAACATGTAAAAGGCTTAACATACGGTTTTACTCCACTCATTCCATTCTACACCAATATATCTAGACACTGAGCCAAGATTAAGCAATAAAGAGTTCTAACGCTGTAATGGGAATGTTATGGTTTGAATATTTGCCCCCTCCAAAACTCATGTTGAAATTTAATTCCCAATGTGGCAGTCAGTATTGAGAAACTGGGTCATGAGAACTCTGCCGAATGGATTAACCCATTCATAAATCAATGAATTAATGGATTGTTATCATGGAAGTGGGACTGGTGGCTTTACAAGAAGAGAGACCTGAACTAGGATGCTCAGCCCCCTCACCATGTGATGCCCTGTGCCACCAAGGGACTCTGCAGAGAGTCCCCACCAGCAAGAACGCCCTCAGCAGATATGGCCCCTCCACCTTGGACTCCTTAGCCTCTGTAACTATAAGAAATAAATTCTCTTCCTGCATACATTGCCCACGTTAAGGTATTCTATTGTAAGCAGCAGACAATGAACTAATATAGGGGAACAAACATTATCACATTTACTCTGTACCTGTATAAATATTACAAAAAAATTATAGTTTTATCCTTTATACTTTAAAACATTTTGCATATTCCTGTGCATTAATTGACAGAGAGAATTTTGTTTTGTTTTGTTTTTTCTTTTTTTTCTTTTTGAGACAGTCTTGCTCTGTAGCCTAGGCTGGAGTACAGTAGTGCAATTACTCACTGCAGCCTCGAACTGCTGGGCTGAAGCCATCCTCTGCCTCAGCCCTCCCATGCATGCACCACCACACCTGGCTTTTTTTCCACAGTAACTACACTTTATCAATCCAAAAAAAGATTCAGTGTCCTTGGTTGAGTCATTTCTTAGCTCTTGGACTCAACTTATCTATAAAATTTGGCAGCTGAACTAGAACATCTCTAAGTGTTTAAATTCAAGGTTATAGTAAGACAAAGTCTCTGAACAAGCTATGAGGGAAATATCCATATAGTCCTGGGCATAAGACATTTAGCGTATTTCTTAATTAGTTAAGAGAAAGCAAAGCTTTTGGAAGAGAGACTTAAAAATAAAAAGACTTAAATAAGACTTGAGTTCTTGTCCCTCTCAGGTAACTGTCCAGCCACTGTAGCTGGCACGGGAGCCTTGATCCTGACATCATTTAGGAACTCTGGTTACTTGTTCTTCCACTATCCCCTAGGCTGGGGTTTCCAAGGGGAACTCCTGCCTAGCATTTCTTGGAGGAATATATATGTTTTCCCAAATCATGAATCCTTAAAAAAGATTAGTTGAGAAGTGAGAAAACCAGGAAAATGTGCCATAATTTTCCCATAATAATTAAAACATATCACCATTTGTAATCATCGGTTGGAAGGACTCTAAAGGAAAAGTGGTAGCTATCAATCAGTCTTTTTTTTTTTTTTTTTTTTTCCTGAGGCAGAGTCTTGCTCTGTCGCCCAGGCTAGAGTGCAGTGGCGCGATCTCAGCTCACTGCAACCTCCGCCTCCCAGGTTCAAGCGATTCTCCTGCCTCAGCCTCCTGAGTAGCAGGGACTACAGGCATGCACCACCACGCCCGGCTAATTTTTTGTATTTTTAGTAGAGACGGGGTTTCACCATGTTAGCCAGGATGGTCTCAATCTCCTCACCTCGTGATCCGCCTGCCTCGGCGTCCCAAAGTGCTGGGATTACAGGCGTGAGCCACCGCACCCGGCCAATCTTTTTTATAGTCATTGTCATGTTATAAGTGTCTATTCCTGTCCCTGCCTGCTAATGAGTCATTTCTGCAAATAAAATAAATATTAATCAGTTTATATACATAGTACAAATCTTATGGATGATATTAGAAGAAATAACAAGTTTTAGTAGCAAAATAATTCCTTAATTTGGCAATTTCAACATGTGATTTAATGTAATAGTTCTGAAGCTTGCAGGGAGAGCTCAATGTTATATTATTCTACTACTACTCAAATAATGTTCATTGGCATATGCCAGTGTTTGAGTCTTCCTTATAGGCTAAAATTCTTTATAATTATGTTAACAGAAAAAATGCAAAGAGAAAAAGATATGAATGTTGTGAAATACTCCAACATGAGGCCAGGCTCGGTGGCTCACACCTGTAATCCCAGCACTTTGGGAGGCCGAGGCGGCCGGATCACGAGGTCAGGAGATCGAGACCATCCTGGCTAACACGGTGAAACACTGTCTCTACTAAAAATGCAAAAAAAAAAAAAAAAAAAATTAGCCAGGCACGGTGGCGGGCACCTGTCGTCCCAGCTACTAGGGAGGCTGAGGCAGGAGAATGGCGTGAACCCGGGAGGCGGAGCTTGCAGTGAGCCGAGATCGTGCCACTGCACTCCAGCCTGGGCTACAGAGCAAGACTCTGTCTCAAAAAAAAAAAACAAAACGCAATACTCCAACATGAAATCAGAAACTGATCTAAAGTTTGAATTAGAAAAAGCAACTCCATTTCAAAGCAAAACTAAAACCAGGGCAAGGCCGCCAAATATTTTAATCACTTAACAAAGCAAATGAGCTAAGTGGGAGTTGAACAATGAGAACACATGGACACAGGGAGGGGAACATCACACACTGGGGCCTGTTGTGGCAGGGCTAGGGGAGGGATAGCATTAGGAGAAATACCTAATGTAGATGACGGGTTGATGGGTGCAGCAAACCACCATGGCACGTGTATACCTATGTAACAAACCTGCACGGTCTGCGCACATGTATCCCAGAACTTAAAGTATAATAATAAAAAAAAAAAAGCATATGAGCTTATGTGAAGCCACATGTACCCTAAAAATCAAACTGAAGATGCTTTTGGATGAAATTTTAATCATTCAAACAATGTCAATACAATATGAAAGAAAAGTTTTTGTAACTTCAGTATTTATCACAAAACAAACTGTAAGACTATCAGGACAGTTGGTGCTTTGTGTGTTTTAAAATATTTTTAAATCTCAAATATTTGTGGTCATATCTTTTCTTTTTGATAATTTTGATTTGGAATTATTATTGTATCAATATTCCTTTTTTAACATTTTCCATTATCAGGGTCTATATCAGGTAAAGATTATTTCTATAAGCTACAGAAGTATAAAATCTTGTCACTACATATTGGCTCATGGTAATAATAAATCATGTATTTATCATCATGTCTTCTTAACAAAAAAATCTCTGAAGCTTTTAGCATAACCTTATCATTAAAAATATATACTTTTGGTTGTTATTATTATGATCACCCACTAAATTTAAAAACACACAAAGTGTGATTTTAAAAATATAGAATAACTTGTGACTCGGGGAATTCCTGAGGTAACTTCATCCTGAATCCCAAACATTAATATCCATGGGAAATTTGAAAACATTATCCATTGTCCTCATTGCAAGTCGAAGTCAAGAAGAGTTACATCCAGATTCCAGCTTGCATGAATGGGAAAGGGAAAGCATCCAAGACAAGCAACTTTCTTTCAAGCAAGTGAGATGGAAGTCATACACATCTTTCAATCACATTTCGGTGAGAACTTAGTCAAGTGACCACTCCCAGCTTCTCTAGCTAGGCTGCCGTGAGCCAAGGAAGAGCAGGGTAGACTATGGAAGACACAGCAATCTCCCACAACATACTAATGCCTTATACTTAAACCTCTGTCATGTTTTCAAAAGTAAATGAAGGTAGTAACGAATTTGTATCCAACTGAATATTGTGTTTTGATATATACAGCAGGTCAGACATCATTTTCTTTGTCTTTGATTGCCGTGAAACTCAGGAAAAAGAAGGTACTTAAAGAGTAACATGACACATATTTTAAAATACATAGAATATTTAAGAATAATTTAGAGTCAAGACTGTATCTGTAAAAGTCATAATGAGAAGCGATATAAATATAGATGCACAGATGAAAATAAGAAAACTGGGAAAACATGAGGCAATAATGAATGATAAAAGATATCCCTCCAGTATAATGAAGAGAATAAAAAGATCCTTGTATCTTTTTACTTGCAAAGAAATTTTAAGCTGTTTGGATCCAAAATGTTTGCGTTTATAATGTGTAGCACATTCACATAAATATAAATGGTATATGGGTCATTGCCAACCCTAGGTTAGGTTGCCACTTTAGACATTAGAGTCTTGACCTGAATAATCAAGTAGGGACCAAGACAAGTCCGCCTCTCACCTTTCCTGCAGGAATTCTTTCACAGAGTCAGTAGACTACTGACAGCCTTGCTAAGAAGGATTGAGCCCAGACAGTTATAAGAATTATACTCACTTATGTGTTAGCACTAATTAACACCAAAAAATGAATAAAATTTTTACAGTGAGTGTCTGCTATCCATTTCCTGATCATCTTAGCCAAAAAACTGGTAAAAACCATTCTTTAAGAGTAGCTAAAGGAAATATCTGTTCAGATTTGGTATTAATTAATTTTTTTTCTCTTTGTCTTAGCTGAGCCTCCTCTGTGTGTCGCACACTGTGTTTGTCCTTGTTGGTCTAAGCTGACATTGATTTCATCTCCATATATGTTACAAGTTACCTCAAATGCGCAGACCTCTGCCACTGCATTTTTAAAGAGCAAAGAACTATAAGATGCTGCATGTTTCACTTATTTACTCAGGAATGCCCAGAATCCACAATGCCATGCTCTCTGACTCTGTGCTACATTTTCTGTATTCTCGACTACTGGAAGAATGTTTTCTTAATTAGAGTTAAAGCAAAATGAAAAATATGCCCACTATGCAGCAGGAATATGGTAGTAGTGACACTTCCTGAAGATTACTAATAAATATACTCCTCAGTTATATTTCTTGAGTTTTTGTATTAACCCTGTTTTTAAAACAGTCTTTAGTGATAACATTTTGCCAACAGTCCTATTCAACATAAAAAGAAATTAGCTGAGTCTACACAAAACGTTACTTGAAATACGTGTTAAACTGTTATATTTTGCAACTCTGTACATGTGTAGTATGCAGCTATGAAAGCAGCCTAAGGTAAGGACAGTGAATGCCCACATGTGTACAGTCCCTCTTGTATCTACGCAACTATTAATATCCTTTACACTCCTCTGTTTCAGCAGATTGGCCACTTTTGTCAATAAAGCATCATTCAGTGGTTGCTTAATTCAGAAGCAAATGCTAAAGCCTTAATGGGGGGCAGTCAGGAACCTGAAAAGCTACAGAACCAATCTCTTGCCATGTCTCAAAATTCAGGGAAAATATTGTACAAATTGTCTGATGTTGATGGTCTCCCTTTACTTTCCACCCTTTGAGGGCTGCTGTACAGGTTGAATGCCTGGCCTCGGACTGCATACTGAATCCATGCCTCTGTGATTGGAATGCAAAATTGGACACGTTGACCTCATTTAACAGTCTTTAAATAATGCTGGTCGCTTGTAGTTTTACACTGATTCACTATTTTAAGAAAAAATTATAATCCTAAGACTGCTTCATTTCTAACCAACTTAAAGACAGGAGAAAAACAGTGTAGAGACAGAAGATGTCAGGACAGGAGGTGAGAAAACCTTTGTTTCATTCCCAGAGCTGTCTCTAGGTGACATTTGGTGGCCACCTATCCTCTCCAAATCACTGTTTTCTCATTTACTACATGAAAGGCTCAGACTAGATGATGGCTCAGCTCCCGTTAAAAGATTCTAGATAGAAAGAACCTTTACCAAACAAATCAAGTAGAACAACAGCTGTGATGGAAAGCAATCTATCCTAGGGCTCAGAGTATGAATCTGAAGTCAGAGAGGTTTCAGGACCCAGCTGCACGAACTTGCGAGAACCAGTTGTCATCATCCCATAATATGTTGACCATCCCAGATTGCGAAGGAGAATTCAAACTGATAATTCATGTCAAGCATGTCAAGCACTTAGCATAATGCATACGTGTAGCTAAATAAATGATAATAGTTATTAATATTTTACATGTATAGTATATAGTGTAGACTCTGAATGGTATACTGGGTTTTTACATTCTAAAGTATAATTTAAGAGGTATTAATGTGACCCACAGTTTATCCAAATTCTAAGAAAAGGGTGGTAAGAGAAGACAGGTCTAAACACTGAGGCCCAGAGTACTTCCTTAAACTGCTGCGAGGACTGGAAATTAGGTATGCAAAACCCTCATATATAGAAACCCATTAAATAGTAGCTCTTAGTTCATTGCTGCACATTGAAAGAGGTTAAATAATCAAAAGCCTATTGTCTTGGTTCACAATATATAATTATATTTACAATGCATACACTATCATGCTTTAAAAAATGTTTTTCCTCATTTAGATTTTACACTCAGTCCCTGGTCTAAAAAGAAATTCAATCTAAAAAAGGGATAATACAAAGCTATCAGAGGACCAAAGTAGTATACTGCCAAAAAAACAGTTGTATTTGATTCCTTTTTTCAAATCATCCCCCAGAGAAACTTAATTCAAATACTTTCGGTCTTACACACGAATTGAAAACTTGCAAAGGAAGTAGATGTATAAAAAATGTCTTAAAAAGAAGTTAGAGTAAAGATTTATTAAGATTGGAAAAAGTAAAGGAAAATAGTTATATTTTTCATTACAAATATTGAAAGATAGCCAATTTCTATTTCCCGGATTTAATACCTGTGGTTGCCCAACACAGCCATTTCACATTTGTTGTTGAAGCAACTTTTTCAGCTTCTGGTGATGTATCAGGACTGAAATAATAACCTAACTTTGCAATACAGGTTAATGTGGTCCTTACATATAAAAAACATACTTTCTATGATGATAATCACACTCTTCTCCCTCATTTTTAAAATCAGTTTCAAATATTGCCTACAAAGTAATCCTCTGCTGTAATGATTTTACATATCTAAAGCTCTCCTTTGATTTTGTATTGCCTTCAAAATCAAAATTAAGTTTCTGGCCTGGTTGGTCAACATCATCCCATCATGGTGCTTCTGGGAATTGGCCTTTCAAAGTTTCCTTAACTCAGATTGAGCTTTCTATCCTGCTTCCCTCTTCTTCCACTCTCCAGTCATTCCCTTCTCCTTAGACACTTCCTTTTTGCCCTGTATATCTGATTATGGGTTGTCTATTCATCTGCCAAACCACTTCCTTCCAAACTTTGTCCTTCTCGTCTTCCATCTACTAAGAAAATTTTCAAGCTGTGAACTTGTCTATTGCAAACATAGTTCATGAAAAGAATCTCTTCTGCACTCTTTCTTGAGTGTAGTCTCATAGTTCACTAAGAATTGTTTTAAGTTTTACCCTATGTTTTTTAAGTTGACCCTATGTTTATCTCTGTATTATTGGTAATGCCTACCTCACTCTACCTCACTCTAGTATACAGTCCAAATATGTAATTACCCCTAGTGGCAGTCAGTCAATAAATATTTACTGAACCAGTCTGTTTTAGGCACCAGGCATCCAGCAGTAGATAAAAGTCCCTGCTCTCTTAAAGTTTACATAACAGTGGAAGAAAAAGAGACAAAGACTTAAGCAACAACAGCAACAAAAAAAGGTGATTTTAGATAGTGATAATATTGTATGTGCCCATAAAACACAAAAGCGATTTTGACCATCATCATTTCCCTAAAGCCCATGAGATATTCTGTAAGCAAAACATCCTAAATGTGCTGATCATACTGACTCATAGCACATTCAGCCATCTTACAGAAGATCTTAACCAGGTGCATCATACTCACTTACAGAATTTTGATAGCCACAAAAATCTAGTAAAAGATATGCAGCGTGATGCAATTCAGTGCCACCTGGTAACATTTCTTCTTTTTTTTTTCTTTGTCTTGCAGCCAACCCAAGATATCCATTTTCTCTTTTGCCTAAAACCTAACCGCTAACAGTAAAGCCTCAGCCACTCTCATGGGCACCGATTTGCAGCCAAGGCTAGCCTCATATACAGTCAGAGATGACATTCTAATACAGTCATCACCATCAAAGGTCAGAACTTTTACAATTTCCTTTTGCTTGGCTTTGATCCAGGTCAAAAGAAAACCAAAGCCTGAAAAAAGGGCATCACCTGCATGTTTGTGTTTATTTAGAGCATGCTACTTCAGTGGAAGAAGTCGAGAACTATTTAAGGAATATCAACAATACTAAAAAGAAGTATTTTTTTAAGTTATATGTAAACTTAAGTCTTACAGGCCTTATGTAAAGAAGTTTGTATGAGGAGGTTTTCACTGTATATATAAGAAAAACCTCAGTATTTGAAAGTAATGTAGTTTTGTATTTTCTCAAATAAAATAAGGGATATGGTACAGATATTATTATTTTTTTAATTCTGTGGTCAAAATTTGTCAATAATAGAATAAAATTATGCCTTCTATTAAATATGCAAATAAACTAAGCTCAACCAAAAATAGTCACTTTTATCAAATTTATATAATATTAATGAAAACAAAATACAATAAATATTTTCAATTAAATATTTAGAACTTCTAGCCCCTCTGCTAGTTATATTTATTAATTTTCTAAGACTTCAGGAAGAAATTCATTTCTAAAAGACCAACATTTCACCAGAGTCCTCTGGCAAAATTCAATTTTAATTATAATTCATAATTATTAAGAACATAATTTATCTTTTTTGGGAGAGTAGGTAGAGTCTTCTAATCTAGGCAAAACCATTTGGGCCTTGGGGATCTATAATTTATTTCCTCTCAGCAAGATAATTAACCTAGAAGGATGCACTTATTTTCTTTAAAACTGTAGGGAATATTCATAGATTTTTTTCAATAGTAAATTCATTTCCCATGTGAACATTTTATACAGCATGTTTTGGTGTGAAATTCCATCCTACCACTTTTCGGCTTTTATTAATATATCAGTTATGTCACTAGGCCCTACAGCAACCATGGGAACAAGTAAATATTACACCTGATTTTAAGACAAGAAGCTGAAGACAGAGGTCAAGTGACCCATCCAAAATCATTAAGTTTTCAAGCAGAGTTGGGCCCTCAATTTCTTGCCCCAACCACAGGCCCTGTCCACTCTGATAAAATCTTAGGTGGTAGCACCAGTACACAAAAAGAAGGAAAATGGATGGGGATTTTGCAGATAACCCAACCATAGGAACCCCAAGTGGTCAGTCAGAGTCACAGGGAATAGCTCAGATCCATACATAAGCCTGTGGTCACAAGGTGAGGAAGGGATCAAAGGCCAGCAGCTTACCTACCTGGAACTCTCATTGCAACCAGCGGGTTCCCTGGTCAAGAGCAGACATTGGGTACGGTCTTTCAGGAATGGAGAGGCAGGGTGCAAAGGGTTTATACCTACCTTCTGTGGGTAGGTGATAGGGAAAACTTAATGGGGTGGTGGGGAGGAATGTTAACCCCAACAGGAGCTTTACACTCATCTGCCTCTGTGAAGTGCAATGTCTGATGTTCTTTTATTTCTTATATTTATGTTAAATTTAATATGAAAGGTAAGCAGAAAAGTTCCAAGTTTTCTCTTTTGATGCATATTAAGACATCAGTACAAGAACTACAGAGTTCATCAGCTAATTCAGTTTGGGAAAAAAATATATGAAGGAATGATGAAAAAGACTGAGGAAAAAGGTTGAAAATATATGAAGGAATGATGAAAAGGAAATTTGGTAATCATAAGATTTTATCAAAAATTCTGACCTAACAGTCCTTAAGAATAATTACCACTAAATGGAAAGAACACTTAATTGTTTTTAATGGAACTTTCTATTTTTGTTTTTTATTTTCTTTTTATAATTTACATGTTTACTTTTTATTATGGAAAGTTTCAAACACATAAAAGATGAAAGAATAGCATAAACCTCTACATAGGCACCACCTTCCTGCAATAGTTCTGGTCAATCTTGTTTTATCTATAACACACCAATGCTCCAAGTCCCAGATTACTGAAGTAAATCTCATATTATCAATTCATCCATAAATATTGCAGGATTCCAAAAATTTTTACCCGATACCATTATTACATTAGAATTCATAGTCATTACCTAACACTCACAAATATCCAGTTACTGTTCAACATATGTCAATTAGCTCAACTGAGCTATTCTACAATGTATACATATTTCAAAACATCATGTTGTACACAATAAATGTATACGTTTTAAAAAAATAGAGATGGGGTCTTGCTGTGTCACGCAGACTGGAGTGCAGTAGTACCATCATAGCTTACTGTAGCCTCGAACTCTTCGGCTCAAGCAATCCTCCTGCCTCAGCCTCTAGGGCAGCTGGGACTATATCCAGGTACCACCATGCCTGGCTAATTTTTAAGTTTTCTGTAGAGATGGGATCTCCCTATGTGGTCCAGGCTGGTCCTGAACTCCTGGCCCCAAGCAATCATTCCACTTCAGATTCTCAAAGTGCTGGGATCATAGGCATGAGGCACTGTGCCCAGCCAACATATACAATTTTCATTTGTCAATTAAAAGTAAATAAAATAAAATGTTTAAAAAGGTTCCAGCATATTTCATACATTGTGACTAGCCAGTAGGTCTCATGTCTCTTTAATCCAGGTTGCTATTCTTTTTTTCCTTCTTGGAATTCATTTTTTAAACAAACCATAGGGTTTTTCACAGTCTGGATCTTGCCAATTGCTTCCTTGTAGTGTTGTTTCACTTGTTCTCCCATCCCCTGTATTTCCTGCAAATTGGTAGCTGAATAGGACTTTCATGTCATTTTCATATACTCTGCAATGACTGCTAAGAAATTTCATCTCTCTGTCTTTGTGCTTTCCCACTGGCTCATCCTTCACAATGGACTTGTTCATTCATTTATGAAGCAACAATGAGTACCTACTGCACATACCCCAGCACTGAGCACCAGGTGCAAAGATTATTGTGACACTGAAGTGAGGCCTAAAACTGTGCTTACCAAAAATGCAGTGTTGATCAAAACTTCCTTTTACAAATATAAGACAAAATAATTTAATTTTTAACTCTAGAAGAAAACCACTATTCTTATCCTCCTTTTTAGATGAGGAAACTGAGGTTTAGAAAACTTTCATGATTTGCCCTAAGTTACACCACAAGTCTTAGAATAAAGTTGGCATCCGTGTCATGAGACATAAGGAGCACAATCTTTGTAATCACACCAGCCTGGTTTGTAATGCAATAGCATGGTACATTCCACTATATATGTAAGATATGATATATTTCACTGTAATACTGTGTCTTAGTCCATTTTCTGCTGCTATAACAGAATGCTACAAACTGAGTAATTTATAAAGAACAGAGATTTACTTGGCTCATGGTTCTGGAGGCTGAGATGTCTAAGCATGGTACCAACATCCGGCAAGGGTCATCCTATGGCTGAAGGGTGGAAGGGCAAGTGAGCCCATGTGAAAGACGCCTTACTTTTATAACAAAGCAGCTCCCACTACAGTTAATCCATTCACGAGGATGACGCTCCCTTGACTTCATCACTTCTTAAAGGTCCCAGCTCCCAATACTGTCACAATGGCAATTCAATTTCAACATGAGTTTTGGCAAGGACATCCAAACCATAGCATACTGAAATATAATGTACTTCAGTGTAAGTTTTTTGGCTTTCAATATTTCCTTCCCGACTCTGTCTTCCCCTTCCAGAAACCATATTCTTAAAAGTCAAAGTTTTCTTTTTTAATCTTCAAAAGCCAAAGATTTTTTATGGCTACATAGTATTCCATGGTGTATATATGCCACATTTTCTTAATCCAGTCTATCATTGTTGGATATTTGGGTTGGTTCCAAGTCTTTGCTATTGTGAATAGTGCCACAATAAACATATGTGTGCATGTGTCTTTATAGCAGCATGTTTTATAATCCTTTGGGTATATACCCAGTAATGGGATGGCTGGGTCAAATGGTATTTCTAGTTCTAGATCCCTGAGGAATCGCCACACTGACTTCCACAGTGGTTGAACTAGTTTACAGTCCCACCAACAGTGTAAAAGTGTTCCTATTTCTCCACATCCTTTCCAGCACCTGTTGTTTCCTGACTTTTCAATGATCACCATTCTAACTGGTGTGAGATGGTATCTCATTGTGGTTTTGATTTGCATTTCTCTGATGGCCAGTGATGATGAGCATTTTTTCATGTGTCTTTTGGCTGCATAAATGTCTTCTTTTGAGAAGTGTCTGTTCATATCCTTTGCCCACTTTTTGATGGGGTTGTTTGTTTTTTTCTTGTAAATTTGTTTGAATTCATTGTAGATTCTGGGTATTAGCCCTTTGTCAGATGAGTAGATTGCAAAAGTTTTCTCCCATTCTGTACTATGCAGCAATAAAAAATGATGAGTTCATGTCCTTTGTAGGGACGTGGATGAAGCTGGAAACCATCATTCTCAGCAAACTATCACAAGGACAAAAAACCAAACACCGCATGTTCTCACTCATAGGTGGGAATTGAACAATGAGAACACATGGACACAGGAAGGGGAACATCACACACCGGGGCCTGTTGTGGGGTAGGGGGAGGGGGGAGGGAGAGCAGTAAGAGATATACCTAATGTTAAATGACGAGTTAATGGGTGCAGCACACCAACATGGCACATGTATATATACGTAACTAACCTGCACTTTGTGCACATGTACCCTAAAACTTAAAGTATAATTTAAAAAAATTTACATAGTCCTAAAGATTATACCTTGCTAGAAGCTGTTTCCATTTCTAATGAGCAATTTGGCGATAAAATCAAATGCCTTAAAAAAAAAAAGAAAAGCCAAAGATTTTGGAATTCAAAAGCTAAAGCCACAATAGATAGATAGAAATCTGCTTCCTATTTAGAATGAGAGGAGAGCCAGGCTACTCTTCCCTAAAGGGTAAAGCTATGCCTAGAGTATGCAGAGCCCCAGGCAAATATTTTGTAAAGTGGCTCTGCCTATATAAGAATCTGACTTAAAGTATATTACAAAATTCATGGACTCATGTGAGTATAGTAACTTATCAATAAACATTTACAATAATGGGTAGAGAAGAGGTACTTTTGTATTTGTTTATTATCTAATCAATGAATGTAAAATTCTCCATCCTGTGTTTGACATGAAAATTACCCAAAATCAATCCATCAGCACCATCCTGGCAATTTCGTTAAAAAAAAATACCATGCCAACCAACAAGAGCCATCTTCTCAGCAGGCTGCCCTCCTAAGACTGGGCTCAGTCATGATGCCCTGGGACAACTTCATAGGCAGGAATCCCAGAGCTCCTTGACTGAATCCTTGTGCAGCAGAGAGGGTCAAAGAGTGCCCCAAAAGAGAGCTAGGATCAAGGCCCACGTAGATTCCAGTCTAGCCCCATGGTGCCCTGCTCAGTTGGCATTGCCAGACCTGGCCAGGCCCAGGCTTCAAAGAAGGACTTAGAAACTTTTGTGGAAGGTACCCAAAGCAGGGTGGGCCAACAGAGGCCCAGACTCTGAAGCAGAAACCCTATTTGCAGTAATCAAAGGAAAATACTGGCAAAGTGTCACCCAGTCTAAAGGAAGGGAAGAAACACAGGAGGCTTGACCAGGGAATGAGATCACTTGAGACCCAAGACTCTGTGTCTCCTATCATAATTGTCTCTTTTTCACATGGGATGCCGGTTTCGTGTAGGGAAAACTATCTGTACTTGAAGAGAATTAAAGAAAACCAATCTTTTCCCAAAGGTAGAACGGTGGTGATACATTCCCAGTTGCATTGGCTATATAACCTTAAGCAATTAGTTAACTACTCTGAATTTCAATGTCCTCATCTGTAAAATGGGTATGGTAATATCTGCCTCTAAGAATTGCTCTAAAGATTTATTGAGCTAATATAGAATACATGTCTTGCTTATATGAGGCACTGAATAAATGCTTAAAAAATTTATAAATGTTTTCTTTTAATTATTTAATAACCACACATTGGTCATTACCTATAGACAGCAGCAAAAGAAAAAGAAAAGTAGTTTCTCTATCACCAAGCAATTTGTCATTTAACTGGAGCAATAAACACTATAGACATGAAAAACACTTAAGAACCACTTAAATATGAACATATTGAGAAAGGTGAATGGGAATGCATTAAGAAAACAGAGAAAAGACAAAAATAGAGATCACTGCATTTAATGCAATATTGGGGAAGGCTTCCTAGAGCAGGAGAGCTGAGTCAGACATGTTAACAAGGTGAGGAAGACAAAACAAAGAGAGAAGGAAGGAGCCCTCATGGGGGAGAAGACTCACAGCCTGACTTAGACTGATAGGCATGACTTTCTTAATAAAAAATGTGATTCCCAACACCACCAACACGGTCTTAGTAATTTTTTCTATTGTAATAATTGTCAGAAACAAACCCAGGAAACACATTGGCACGCTGAAGGTTATTTCATAGGTTGAGAATAAACACAGCAAGAACCTTGCTAACACTGATCGTTCAAAAACAAAGCCCTGCTGGCTTTTATATTTGACGAAGGAAATCCTGTGAATTTTCTAACTGGATCAGTATACTAGTATATCCACACTGAGTTTTAAAAGGTTGGAATCCCCAGGTAAAAATGATGCCAAAGCACCAATAGAGGTGTGAATATCAGCTAAATCAGTTGCTCGGCACCATGAAGACAGTTAAGCTCTTTTAGCCTGTAAAAGCAGAGATGTTTGAGCTACCTTAAATGGAGAGTTAGAGCTTGGAAGGAAGGAAGATAATGTCCACACAGCCAGCAGTTCATGTTCCATACTGCTCACAGACATTAGGATGCCTCTGCATACACAGCAGTAGCTCCAGCAACCCAGTAGGAACTCCCATAACCACTCCCTCCTAAGAGGCATCCATCACTGCCTACTCAAGTGCTTTGCATGGCGGTGTGCTAATAAATGGTTTAACAACAGATTCTGTGAGGGGTGATCCCTGATTTGAGGTTTTTCCCAGTTTCTGTTGTGTAAAAACCCCCATGATGACCAATTTCAAGATAAAACATACGATCACAGAACAGAGATGGGGAGACACAAGCACTATGGATTCTTAGGGTACCACAAATGACTCAAAAACTCTGACTCAGCTTCTCAACTCTCCTGTTCAATGGGTTAACTGTTATCTCCTTCTCTCTACTTTATGGTTTCTTCATACTACCTTATTTCTGTGAGTTTTCTTGCCACTGTCCATATGTTTCATTATTCAAACTCTTGAAGGGAAGGAACCTGATTGAATCAGCCGTTCCCCAACCAAGAGGTAGAACTCCACATGGTTACAGTTGCCCTGCCAGACTCCTTCCCATCTCTAATCCAATCAGCTATAATTGTCAGCAGGTGACCCTGTTCCAGGAAGAGAAGACTTTGACCTGCAAGGCATAAGACCTTTTTGGAAGGATGTGGTCTAATACAGCAGGTGCCTTGAAGGGGCAATCCAGTACTTTACAACATAAGCAATTAAGTCCTGATTTGTGTTTGTGTTCGGTTACTTGCTGTAGTGTCATTAAGAAATGTCTTCATCTAGATCCCCCTTCTGATGGCTTTCTCAGTTTCACATGGATCAGTGTCACTCCAGAGGGGGAGGCACTGCAGTAAATGGCCAAGAACTCTGAATTTGAGTAGGAGACCTGGATCTAGGTCCATCCAATTACTTTTCTTTTTCTGTGACCTTGGGCAATCTCACTTCAACTTTCTGAACCTGTTTCCTCATTTATAAAACAGAAAATTGCTCCTGACTTACCAAATTCCAGGTGATGTTTTACTGGAATAAGAAGGAAGAGAATGAGGAGAAGGTAGAGGACTGTTCTCACAGCAGGGAATTTAAATGTTTTTGAGCCAAGTTAACCTTTTTTTAAACATGTGGGTCTTAAGTGTGTAAAGTCAGAGGTACTCTAGCTAAAGGAGAGGGCAGTGAGGTGAAGGGGCTGGAACCCAACCTGTGTGGCCTCCTTCCTGCATGCTCTGCATTCCCCTAAGCAAGGGAACCCTGGAGTTCCTGAGAACAGAGCTGGAAAGTGACTAGCCTATACAAAGGCAATGGCAAAATATTTTCACATCCAGAATTTTTCCTCTTGTGTCAACTTGGAACAATAAAATAAATTCCCCACAAAAACATTTGGTGATCCTAGAAATAAAAAATTATCTCTAGGCAAATTTTATTGTGATAAAAATAAATTGAGAAGTATTTTAAGAAGTAAGTATTGAGGCTACTGGAATCACCATTTCTAATTTCCTACTGTGAACTAAATCACAAATGGCTCTTACTTCTACAAAAGCTACAACAGAATGTGTGGTATCATTGTTGCTGAAGGGATGGATAAAGAAATTATTTAATTTTATCCCAATCCTCCATCCTATTTTTCCTCTTATATTTCTGTTTACTATGACACACACAATCTGATCTGAATTACAATGATCAGAAATATTATATATGCAAAAGTGAGGTTAGTATTATTAGTAGTGGTAGTACTATCATTAGTATTATTATATTATCCTCCCAAACCATTTTCTTGGCCTTATCAATGTTTTAGATATGATTGGGTAGACAAATACCAAAGGAGGCTTTATATGTTTAAAAAACATTTGAGCTAATGGTTTTCTATACAGCAAAACATCAGTTTCGAATCTTTTTATTCTTATTAAGGGTATAGGTTTAATCAAAATGAGGGCTGGGGAGGAAGATAAATATAATAATGTAAACAACAAAATAATAAAAATACTTTCACATTACTATCTTTTATAGTCATTTTAAATTAGATAAGAATAGATGGATAATGCTTTGTTTCTAATAATTTCTGCAGCCAAAGGTAGAGGCCGTAATTAATCTGATCATCTCCCAGCCTGTTTCAGATAGTCATTGTATCAGTCAGGGTCCCAACAGAAACAGAGTTATTAGGTATAATTCCAGGAAGGATTATTTACAAAAAAGCTAATTACAATATTAAGGGGTGGGTAGGCTATGGGGAATTGCTAAGGTTAATGCAGGAATCCAGAACTAGCAGCAGGAGAGCTGCTACCACATCTAGTACTGAAGGGATGAGGAGAGAGCAAAGTTTCAAGTGCCCAGCAGGGGAAGAATTCATAGACCAGTGCTGTTTCACAGAAAGATAATGAGGCCCAAAAATGTCATTTAAACTTTTCTAGAAACCACATTTTCTAAAAATAAACAAGAAAAATTAATTTTCATAACCTATTTTAATCCAATATGTCACATCAACATTTAATTGATAGAAAATGTATTAATGAGGTATTCTACAGTCTTTTATTCACATCCAGTATTCAAAGTTGAGTGCATATTTTATATTTACAGCGCATCTCATTTTGGACTTGCCACATTTCAAGTGCTCAATAGCCACAAGTGGTGGTGGCTCCTGGACTGGACAGCAGAGTCATAGAGCATCGACTGCCTTAATCTTCTGCTGGGGTCAGGGTGGGAGGAAAAAGGACGTTGGGTCAATCTAACCAGAAGCCACAGGCAGAAGAGCCTGTTGATACAGGGCAGGAAGTCTGAATAGAATAACTTCTGCTATCTTCGGCCATCTTGCAGACTGTCAGATATTCCCAGGATCAGAAATGCAGAGGCATGAATGTGGAGAGCTTTGACTGAACATAGCAAGTATTGTATTAAAATGTTATTCTATCCTAATTGTACCTATCCTGTATGACAAGCATTTCTGGAAATGTTAGGAATGAGAAGACAGGGGTGTGAATATGCCAACCAGGCAACATTCCATGAAACTAATTACTTGGGATGATTCGGGCAAGAATATGCTGATACCAGAATTCATTCAACACAGTACGTGCCCTCCATGGATGGCCAGGCACTGTGCCTAGTTAAAGACTGTCTTCAACATTAAAGTAAAAGGAAAATACATTAGCCCGTTAACACATGTCATCTAAAGGAGACACAAAAGAAAGGAGAAAAGTCCCAAGATTGTCTTTCAAGCAAAGTTCTTATTTTGTTTTATTAAATCAGATCAGCACTATGATCATATGAAATAATGATTAGCCTCTCTAATTTACAAAAAGCTGTCACTTTAGCATCAAAGGTAGTAAGTACATAGGTATATAGAAAGGATGGAATTTGATTCAAATATCTGAATCTTCTCTACTAATAATAGACTATGTAAAGTTGAGGATAACACTCAGTCTCTCTGAGTCTCAGTATCCTCATCTATAAATTGAAAGTATAGGGATCCATATTCCCATATATTAGGTATCCAATACATTATTTATTCAACAATTTAATCAGTATCTACTATATGCCAGACACTGTGCTAGATACTGGGTATATCTAGATGAGTAAGATACGGTTCTCATCTTGAGTTTAGCAGAAAATGCAGACATATTAACAATAGTTATAATACAGTTAATATAGTAACTATTAACAATGCTTACAATATTTACAATACAATTAATACTTATAAGCAACAATAGAGATATGTAGAAGATGGATGCAGTGTAATGAAAAAGAATGCAATCTTTGAAATTTAATAGATTTGTATGTGAATCTGTCATTTACCAAGGAGTGTCTTTGAGTAAAACACCTAATGTCTCTGAGACCCAGTTTCATAGTCTGTCAGATTCCCTTTGAGAGTTTTTTGTATGGATTATAGATACAGGAAACCCACAACTTAAGACCCAGTCTGTTGACAGGTAGCATTTGAAAGTTGAGCTTCTATAAATTCTACCTCAATAGGTATAAATTGAATTAGTTACATTCCTAGTAAAGAGCACCAAATACATATTTTGTCCAAATACTAAGTGGCTGAGTATTAAAATCAATATTTTGCCAAAGATGAATATCATCATCAAAAAATGAACTTCTAGAATATGGAAATAAATCCTAACTTATATCCAAAAATTATTACTATAATTTTATGAAAAAATGTAATTAAATTTGCCAAGTACTACAGTATAATATTAAAAAATAAATTTTCAGCTATGCCAACTACTAGATTTTTCCCGGAGGTCATTCACTATAGCACATTGTAACAACAAAAAGATGCTCACTTTCAGCTAAGGTTGACCTGATATTTTTGAAGCACCTCATTACTCTCTTACGCTTTCTTCTTTTTTTTTTCAACTACTCTATATTCTTTATTAAATCTGAACAAAGATAATTTATCACTGATAATTTTGTTCATATTCTGGAAATTATTTCATTAATGAAATTTAAAGTGACATATTATGGCTTTCACTTATCCTTATGAGATATGAAAAATTGCCAATAAGGACTTTTTCTTGAAAGACTTGTGGCCTAAATGGAATTAAGTAACTAAATATTAAATACAGTTCTTAAAAGTTATATTATTTAAAGATATTACTTAAATATAAGAATTCTACAATGATTTGAATTATGGTATAATTCCTAATAGCTTATTATTTAATTTTTTTAAATGTCTCAGGTCAAAAATAATCTTCTTCTTAAAGTTATCTAGCTATCATATGCTATAAATTCATGATCATAATCTATATATTTGCTCCTTATTCAACCATAAGAAAAATCTTGAGTGTTTATGTAAAGTTAAATTAACAGCTATAACAATCTACAATTCATGATTTATATTTTACTTTATACTTCAAGTGACTGATAGAGCTCAACATATGAAGTGTGTAAGAATACTTCACTAAGTTACATTTAGGTTGCTTAGTTGATGAAAAGTGAATATTAAGATATTAACTGGGCCAGGTGTGGTGGCTCATGCCTGTCATCCCAGCACTTTGGGAGGCCAAGGTAGGAAGATCACTTGAGGCCAGGAGTTCAAGACCAGCCTAGGTAACATAGTGAGGCACTGTCTCTACAGAAAAAAGCTTTAATTAGCCAGATGTGGTGACATTCCCTTGCCATTCTGTAGGCTGAAGCAGGAAAATCCCTTTAACCCAGGAATTTGAGGTTACAATGAGCTATGACAGTGCCACTGCATTCCAGCCTATGTGACAGAGCAAGACACTGTCTCTAAAAATTAAGATTAAATTAAATTAAATTTTGCGAATTGTATTGTTTATTTTTATGACAAATTTTAACTATTTTTAAGAATCAAGTTTGTTTCTAGGAATTAGGAATACATTAAAATAAAAATTAAAATTAAAGATAACTACAAATTTAAAGATATTCTTTATTCATATTATTGACATTTTTACATGTTTAGAGTTTATGTTATCCAGTGCAGTCACATGATCATTAACCATGCAGACAAATTCAAAGATACTAGAAATGACATTGAAGTAGGCATGCAGCCCTTAACCCACCCTCAAAGGCTCATCTCATAGCAAAAATTGAATAGCAGATTTGGCCAAATACTACAGGTGAAGCCAAATTTTAGTGTATGCTTAATTGCTAGAAACCAACTTGAGGTCTTAAAAATAGTAAAAAATGAGCCATAAAAATAAATACAATTCAAAAAGTATGCTTTGACAAAATTTCATTAAGTGCGTAAACAAAACTTCTTAATTAAAGTTATATTGTAAGTATCCCTTTGTGGGAATTTTTTGCATAGATGACATTGGATGAAGCTTCTTAAAGAAAGAGTTAAATTTAGTTTTAACTGAGAATGATGTCAGCAATCTACTTGTATTCAACAAGGGAAACCTTTCTTGCCTACATTTAAATTTTGGTTATCTGAAAATTCGTTTTTTCCTCCAAAAAGCATGACTATTTCCTAAGGTAAGTCTCAAAGAAAGGGCAGTTCTCACAGTGATTTCTCATCAAGAATGGCCTGCTCTCCTTATGCAACATGATATTCCTGGCTGAGTTCTTATGAATAGTACATTAGTGGCAAAAGGCCAGATGTATATCAAAGTTTGAGAACCATGGCATACATATAGTATTCAAGGCACTGGTACCCCTCTGGCTCTGCAGCTTCACCTCATGCTCTTTCGAAACCAGGAAGACTAAGCCAGATGCCATTCCTCAAATGTCTCAAATAGCAAGCGCCTCCTACCACTTTGCTCAAGCTGTCCCCTCTGCCTGTAGTGCCCTCTACCCAACTCCTCTCCCCTACTTAAAATAACCTCTTCTCATCCTTTAAGATACAGTTTAGGTCTAACCCCTGCAGAAAAGTTTCCCTATCCTCACAGACTGGGTCTAAAACCCAGCTTCACGTTGTCAGCTCCGTGGTTCTCCCATTGGACTAGTGAATCCCTGGGCAGAGCCTCTGCCTGGGTCATCTGTGTGTCCTCCACACCAGGCCTGGGGTTTGACACATAGCAGAACCTTAATAATTACGTTTAGCATTTCAATCACTACAAAACTGATTATATAAGAATGACATCTTTATCAATGTACCCACATGATATAAAAATTAACAGGGAAAAATGGATCTCAGAGCATATTTTAAGAATTCTAAAACCAAGAGATTGGAGGCATCAAAGAAAGATCAGAGGGTAAAAGAGGCTTAAATTAAGGTGTACACACCTGAAACACACCAAGTGTCAAGCTCCAAGAGGAACAATCACAAAACAGGCCAATGCTCCGTGGAGAGGAAAGACAAGAGAAGAGGAAGCAGATTACAAAGGCTATGGTCATCTACAGCTCATGTCGTAAAAAGAAACAAGTTGCTAAAAGAAAGTAATCTTTCTAGTTCTGATAAAATGTTCTGAATTTTAAAATTTCAATTGATTATCATGTATCTGGAATTTTATAAAGGAGACAAAAATACTGTACATTTTTCATCTCATATGAACAAGCAAATACATCTACAAGAACAGAAGGTACAATCCAATACCATTTTAGGCTCTTTTCCAAAGAGCAAACAAAAATCCAAACTAAAAAGAGAGAGAAATAACAGAATGGAAAAAAATAATAATAAACTGAACATAACCACTCATTCCCCAGAGACTCTACCCTGCCCTTCCTACCTCTGCCAAAGAACTAATAATGAAGAAAAATAAAAAAGCATGTCTTGGCCCCTATCCAGTGCTGGGACTTATTAGTAACTATCTTAAAGGTTGAAAGGATCCTCAGCCAGAAGAATTGGCAGCCCTTAAAATGAGTGAGGCAATGGTACAGATGGTTGCCTTGGACATGGTACCAAGCCAGTCCAGGACAGTAAAGATCTTCAGAAACTCAAGCTGTATATTACCATAACATTTCACAGTGTTTCAGAAAGAAAATATTTCTCTATTTATTCCCTATAAAATCTAACTGAAAATAATTATTAACCAGGCAAAATGGTTAATAATTTAATGTAATAATTATTACAGGCAAAGGTATTGGAAGATACTATGGTGTCTATATACCATTGTAACTTCTCACTGAAGTTGTTTTACAAAGGAATTTTCTGCCTAAGAGAATGGGTGAAAACTTGACAGGTTGTCATCCAAAAGTGCAATTCCAGTGATACTTCATATATCTTAACAGAGGTAATATTTCACTGAAACTGATTATTATTATAAGGACTATTCAAAATCTTATGAGGGAATTTTCTTTTTCAAGAAATACTGCTTATACTTGCAGATCAAAGGTACAGTAGGTATTCAACTAATGTCTACAGGATTTGAATCTAAATCTTGTTGACATCATTTTTCACTTGGAATAAAATTCTAAAATGTCACATAAGCCATGTAAGTATAATGCATTTCCGTGATATAAAGGATGTTCACTTTTCCTACTAAATTGGAATGCATTTTAAAAGGGAAGTTATAGTGGCTGGAAGGTTGGAATACTATTTTGCTAAAGTGTGGGTGAGGGGAAACAATATTCCCAGGGGAAAGCTGATTTCCATCTTTTTCTCTCCCCTAAGTCTGCTCATAAGGCTAGGTCACTTGCTGAAACTTCTTACTGATTTTATTAGTCTGCCTGTAGACTACCTTGAGTTTTTTCTCTTTAATCTCAGTTTTCAGTTCCTTTTTAATTCTTATACCTCTAATTGCTTTGTCTTGTCTTATTTCGTTGTCTACGACACCCAATATAAGCCTGACTAGAAGTAATGATAGCAGAATTCTTTGTCTTGATCCCCATCTAAGTAGAAATAATTCTAAAATCTTATCATTACATATGTTTACTATAGGTTTTTTCTATATATGCTTTAGTAGGTTAAGGTAGTTCCTTTTGATTCCTAGTTTGCTATAAAAAAAATTTTATCATGAATAAATTTTGGATCTTGCCAAATCTGCAGCTGTTAATGAAAGTCCTATGTTTTGTCAAGAACAGTGAAGGGTGTGAGATTTTTTTTTTAATTACTTCAAGTTCTGGGATACATATGCAGAACGTGCAGGTTTGTTACATAGATATACACGTGCCATGGTGGTTTGCTGCACCCATCAACCCATCATCTACGTTAGGTATTTCTCTTAATGCTATCCCTCCCCCAGCTCCCCACCCCCAACAGACCCCAGTGTGTGTTGTTCCCCTACCTGTGTCCATGTGTTCTCATTGTTCAACTCCCACTTATGAGTGAGAACACGTGGTGTTTAGTTTTCTGTTCCTGTGTTAGTTTGCTGAGAATGATAGTTTCCAGCTTCATCCATGTCCCTGCAAAGGACATGAACTCATCCTTTTTATGGCTGCATAGTATTCCATGGTGTATTTTAACCTATTTGCAAGTTAACAAGTTAGCCTGCCACAATTTCATGGGTGCCAGCAAAAGATGTAAGACTCCAGGGTCAGAATTAAAAGACTTTTTGCCCACAGGACAGCAAGCATAACGAACATCATAAATATTCATTTGTATCCTTTTTTTCTTGATTAGTCCTTCTAAAAGTTTCTCCATTGAATTAGTTCTTTCAAATGACTGGTTTTGGATTATGTTGATCTATGTTTGGGGGTTTTTTAACTTCAGTAGTATTTGTTCTCATCTTTAATGTTCCTTTTAATCATTTTTAATCTTAATTTATTCTGTTTTTTATTTTTCTAGTTTCCAAAATGGAACATGAATCATTTATTTTCACAATTTTTTCTTTTTAATAGTTACCTCAAATACTGCCTTAGTTGCCTCCTACAAGTTTTGATATGTACTACTTTTACTTTTGTACAACTTTTAAATTGTGTTTTCTTCCTTAACCCATAAGTTATTTGGAAATACACTTTAATATTTCCAAATACATGGCAATTTTTCAACTAGCTTTTTTTTAACTGACTTGTGGTCAAAAAAATAGAAAAATATATATTCTCTATTATTGGAGATGATATATAGATATATAGATGGACATATAGAGATACATCTATGCATACAATGTATGCATATAGAGAGTTAGAGATGGAATTAATTTTGCTTTTCGATGTTTCTTATTTCTTGATCTTGTTTTTATATTCTTAATCTATCAGTTTTGTTATGAATGAGGATTTGCTGGTTATTCCTTTTAGTTCTTGCTTTATGTATTTTTGAAAGTGATCTGTTATATATACACTTATTTATTGATTGTTGTGACATCTTGGAAGATAATTTCTTTTTAAAATTATTTTAGAGAGTATCCCTTTATCCTTTTTTAAACTTTAAGTTCTGTCTCATTTGAGGACCCCAACTTTAATTCATATTTGCACATTAGATCTTTTGGCATCCCTAGAATTTCAACCTTTCAGTGTCACTTGGTTTTGGAATTTCTCTTGGATGCAAAGTAAAGCAGAAGGAATTTTGTAACAACTTGATAATACAACTTCTTTTTTTTTTTTTTTTTTTTAGACAGAGTCTTTCTCTGTCACCATGTTGGAGTGCAGTGACTCAATCTCAGCTCACTGCAACCTCCGCCTCCCAGGTTCGACCGTTTCTCCTGCCTCAGCCTCCCGAGTAGCTGGGACTACAGGCACTCGCACCACCATGCCTGGCTAATTTTTTTATTTTTAGTAGAGAAGGGGTTTCACCATGTTGGCAAGGATGGTTTCGATCTCTTTACTTTGTGATCCACCTGCCTCAGCCTCCCAAAGTGCTGGGATTACAGGTGTGAGCCACCGCACTCTAAAAAGTGAGAGTTTAGTCATGTACGTTTATTAAGATTATGGCATTACTGGTATATTTGGACTTATTTCCACCATCTGATTTTGTGCTTTCTTTTTATTTATTTCATGGTCCTTTCCTTACTGTCCTGCCTATTGTTGGATTGATTATTTTTTTACCTTTAGTTTTTCCTTCTGTTAATTTAAAAGCTGTAAATTACATTGCTATTATTTTGGTGATTCCCTCTAGCATATTAAGATTGAAACTTAACCAAAAAGTTTTCTAACACAATCTAGAATTATTTAGTACATCAATTCTATTTATAATTAAAACATTGAGTATAACATATTTTGAACCCTGGAACAACTCCACATCTGGTTATTTTTATATAGAGCTTCACTTATCTTTTAAACAAAGAAAGCATTTTTTGTAATCGATAGTTGATTACATTGGTCAACATATTTTATTAATTTCTGTGTTCACTGTTGTTTCTCATGCTCTACATTTTCCCTCTGCATTCACCTTTTTTCTTGCCAAAGAAAAAATTTTTAGGAATTATGAATGATAAATTTCTCTTGCCTTCTATGCATCTCAAATTCTCTTTACCTTGTCCTCATTCTTGCGTGATTTTTGTGTATAGAACTCTAAGTATACTTATATCTGTCCTCAGCACTTGTAAGATATTATTGCATTTTCTCTGGCATCAATTGTCCAGAGCAAAAGGCTGCTGTTTGTCTAATTGTTGTTAACTTTTAGATGATTTGTATATTTTCTCTGATAGCTTTGAAGAGTGTCCTTTATTCTTAATAACGTAGTTCCTTATAATATGTCTAAAAGTGAATTTATTTTTATTTATATAGTTTCATACTCAAGAGTATTCTTCTAATATGTGAATGATAATCTTAAATTCTAGAAATGGTATTAACAGTTATCTCTCATTTATCGATTCTCTAATATCCCCTCCCTCTCAGAAGCTCATATTCAACGAATATGGGAGCAACTCAACTCATCTTTCATGTTTCTTAATTCCTCTCCCATATATTTTATTTGTGCTGAATAGTGGATATCCTTCAGTCCTCTTCAAGTTTACTATTCTTTTTGACTATGTTCATTCTAGAGTATGTCCCATACATTGCATTTTTGTTTCATTGACTAAATTTTTATTTCCATCATATTTGGTTGGATCATTTTTATTTACCAGTACATTATTTTATTCCTCTCTGGTTTCATCTCACACTTTCTATTTTTTAAACAATTATTTCAAATTCTTTCTCAGACTTCTCTCAAATTAACTAATCAGAATGAGTTCATGTTCTGATTGTTTGGTTTATGTTCATCTTTATTTTGGCTTTCTTCCTTAGCATCAGATTTTTTAAATGAGTTTTATAGTTTTTGTGCACAGGCTAATTTTTATGCAAGATTTTTAAAATTTTATTTCCCCTTCTTCCTTCCACACCTATTTCTGTATATCTAGTGAATCGCCTCCACCCAGCCAACACAGAATCAGTTCATCTAATGATAGTGACTGCCACATGTGACATTCATACATAGTACACTTCTTTCAGAACCCCTTTTGTGTTCTAGATTAGGTGCCACTTCAGTGCTCTTCTGAAGATATTATAATATAATTGCTTTTTATTATTGATTTCTCCCTCAGCAAGACTGTCTCTGCCATGAGGGCCAGGACCTGAGCTATCTGGTTCACACTGTTAAACAACCCAGCACCAAGAGCAATGAGTGGAATAAAGTACACTCATTAAATAGTTGCTGACTGAAATAATCAAATGTTTTCGTCACTGGGTAATGTGTCTCATGGTATTGCCATTGTACCATTTTCTCAGGATCCATGTGGTTAGTGTTGGAACTCAAAAGGTGATGACTTTCCTAGGTGGTTGCTCACTTCTGAATAGTGATTTAGTAAGCACTTCACTTCTAGTTCAATCATTACTTCTTTCTCTCTGAGTTACTTTCACAATGGGTGGATCTGAAGGGCTAGCAGCTGCGAAGCCTGGCAGGATAAAGGGGATGATATCTTGCACTCTGCATTTTGTTTCACTGGTGTAATTACTATGATGATTGTAGATTAAGCCTAATCCTAGTTATTATAGTTTTCTCTTTGAATCCCAAAGATAAGAGGTTTCATCCTACACAAAGATCTTTTTCATTTATTTCTGGACAGAAACCAACTAAAATTAGGTCCAAGTCATTCCTGAGCTGTCAATGTGGAAGTGCCTTCTGCATACTCACTTCCCGTCAATACTCCCTGACAACCCTTGAATCATTTAAACCTCACAAGTGGCTGTTGGGAAGCATGTCATTTCAATGTACCTCTATAGCTTACTGAAGATCATATTGAATGATTTGTGAAAACGTGGAACAATGTCTCTTGATGTTTGCAAAGTATTACAATTTTATTTACATATTTATTCTGTTATTTTCAAGACCTCCAGTAATTACTAGTATAAGAAATAAAACATATACATGTTCTCTTTTCACCAATAAGAAAGTTGGTTTGGTTTGGTTTGGTTTTCTGTCAGGTTTAACAGTAATTTTTATCCTAATATGTATACTAAGATTGCTTTTAAAAACAGCTTGAATTTTTTTTTTCAAGACACGTCTTGTGCTGTCACTCAGGCAGGAGTGCAATAGCACAATCACACCTTGCTGCAGCCTTCGCTTCCCAGCCTCAAGCTATGCTCCCACCTCTGCCTCCATAGTACCTGGGACTGCAGATGGGTAGCTGACTTTTACCACGCCCAGCTGACTTTTTTACTTTTTGTAAAGACCAGGTGTCCCTATGTTGCCCAGGCTTATCTCAAACTCCTGGCCTCAAGCAATCCTCCCACCTTGGCCTCCCAAAGTGCTAGGACTATAGGCATAAGCTACCACACCCAACCCAAGAACTTGATTTTTATCCAACATGCTTGCTTAATGAAGACAATAGCCATCAGTTAAATTTTTAAAAACCTTTAGAACAGACATATAAACACTGCCTACTAATGAGTCATAAAATCTACATGCTTCTAAGATCATACTGAAAAAAACTCCCCTATTTCTGCTTTTGTTTATGCAGTAAGGAAAATATAGATTTTTTTGTCTCTGTGGTATTTGATTATTTTCCTAAATGTATATTTCTGGTCTTTTAATTATGCATAGAAAGATCACAGCAATGGTTTCTTCCAAATATTATAGCCATCCTTACAGAACTTTCTCCACTGCATGTAGAGACCAGCTTAGCATATAATTTATGTTTTCAAACTTTAATTTGCCTGAAGCCTTTAATTTTCCACAAGCCTGTGTGTGTGTGTGTGTGTGTGTGTGTGTGTGTGTGTGTGTGTCCATCCCATGGTTCCAAGTTATAGCTGAATTTTTTTTTACCAATTTTACCTATTTTTGTAATAAATCCAGTCACAGTCCTCACTGAGTTATAGACTAGATTGATGGGAGAAAACTGTAATCAGGGAAAGAAGGTAAATACACGTTAACTTCACTCAAAAGCCACTCCTTTAAGCAGTTGTACACAGCAGGTCATTAAAGTTCACATATTCAGTATAATCACATTTTTAAAAGTATACTGACACTATGAATAGTGTTCACTGCAACCAGGGATCATGAAACATTCAAATTTCTTGAAACCTGTAAATTTAGATTGAGAGACTATTAGAAATAAAGTATATTTAAGTTAAGCATATTATCAATTAAATTATATTTAATGCTAAAATTTTGAAGGAAAAGAAAAAAGTAATAGTCATATATGAAAAAAAAATCAATTCATATGCCATATTATCCAACCACCCGGGTAACAACAGACTGGCTACAAATTATATGAGGAATTTAAATATAAATTCTTAGATTTCTAAGTGTGATTTTGTGATGACAAGCACATCATTATAACTTAAAGCAATTCATTTCTACACAATTTACTGAACGTCTACTATGTCTATTCTTGCCTCAGGGAACTCACAGACTGCTAGGAAATAAAGACACATTCCAACCAGTTGCAATTCAGTAATGTTATTATAAGAGTCATATTAATGGTAGATACATTTTTATAAATAACACCTCAATTCTGCACTTTCATAAAATATCCATGTGTCTGTAATTTATAACTACACATTAGTAATCTTTCATATTAATAAATAAAAACTCCATTCTAATTAGGCACTAATATAAAACAGTCACTCACTTCCCATCTGTTATCCCATTTGCTGATACATACAAGAGGAGTATCAGTAATTAACTGTTGAGTGCCACAAGCTGGAATATTCTGTTTTGCAAAATAAGTGATATGAATGTTTATTTTAAAAAATTTTGTGAGCAGAAATGACCAGGTTATGAACCATCTTTTTTCCATATTAACATAACAAAAAGTAAGTGGCTTTTGAGTTCAAAAGTGATGAATTACTGAGAATCTTCTAATATTGGGATCCTTCCATCTCAAGCATGTTTCCTAAATTACTTTTCCTATATTTCAAAAATTGAAATAATGAACCAACACCTACTCCAAAAAAGTTCATATAAAATAGTAACAGTTGGGCATGGTGGCTCACACAGGAAATCTCAGCACTTTGGGAGGCCAAGGTGGGAGGATCACTCGAGCTTAGGCAACATAGTGAGGCCCTGTATCTACAAAAAAAAAAAAAAAATAGCTGGGTGTGGTGGTGCATGCCAGTAGTCCTAGCTGAGGCTGAGGTGGGAGGATCCCTTGAGCCCAGGAGTTTAAGATTATAATGAGCTATGATTGCACCATTGCACTCTAGCCTGGGTAACAGAGCAAGGCTCTGTCTCTTAAATATAAAAATAAAATAATTTTTAAAAGGACAGTAACATTACTGACCTCCACTATTCTGCTTTGCAGGCAGCATTAGCTAACAACCTTGTAAGTAGAATGAGTGTTATAGTATGGTCTTTCCTCACAACAAAATACCAGAAAATGGGAGAGAAGAATGGAATGGGCAGCAGCATCCTGTGTCCAGATGCCCACACAAGAAAAAGGCTGAGCTGAGCTTCCTTGTCTTTGCCATCTCAGTAACAGAGGTCATGGCAACTGACCTGTCCACCTCATAAGAGAATCTCCTTGCGGACTCTCCTAGCTCATGGCCTGATTTCCTTTGTGCTTGACACAAGCAACCTTCATCTTGTTTTTGAAGGTTAAAAGAGTCCCACCCTTAATATAATGCAACCATCATATGTACAATCTCAAATGTTCCCCAAAGAAGATAGCAACTTAATGTCAAGTTTAGCAACTATCAGTTGGCAAGGTATCTTCAGAAGCTGACTGCCAGTCTTAAAAACCTCAGTCTCCAGGTGATATCTATTTCTTCGCTAAGTTTCTTATGAAATCATCCACACCTGCTTTTTGTCATGCTATAACCTTTAGACAGTCACCTAACCACTATCACCACGCTGAAAATACAATTGTGAAAGAATATTAATGAGCTGGCCACAGCAACATCTATTAGAAAATATTTATTTAAGATTCTGGTACTTGTTTGTTTATTTTTACAAAAAGCAGGAAGTATTATTTCTCCTTGGTAAGATTAATAAACCAGCCAAAAACACAGTCCTCATTTTTATATATTCCCATAGTGGCATAAGGAGCCCCCAGATATGCAGGTGGTAGCCTCGGGTTCAAGTTTAGTGGAATCCTTATGAAATTCTGGTGAAACTTATTGTGCACCATGAACTGGGTGGCCCAGGAGGCCCAGAAGGAAAATATTCCCCATCCTCTGGTCTAGATTCATATAACTCATCAGATTTATAATTAATTGTCCATTTATAAACAAGTCTTGCCAATGACAGCTCTTCACTCTCTCCCAAAGCCATCCATAGTGGACCTAACTACTTGTTAGACCAAGTAGTTACCACTCTACATGGTAATTTTCTGTTGAATTATATACTAGTCAACTGAAAGCTCCTTGAAGGCATGGGTGTGTCTCATTTACGTTTGAATTTTCACTGCTGGTCACTGTTTTTAATATATATATATATAAATTTTATATATTGTATATATTGACTACCATATATATGGTAGTCTATATATATAAATTTTATATATTGTATATATTGACTACCATATATATGGTAGTCAAGAAACTGACAAATATAGGAATGAATGAATCATGTTTTGCATGATTTGTTATTTTTACATAGATTATTACATTTGATAAGAAAGTCTCAGAAAGGAAAACTATCTTGCACAAGATTATACTATTTGTAAATCAAGGATCTAAGTTTCAAATCCATGTCTCTAGACTGGATTTGACGGTCTGGCTATAAATGCAGTGCTCATAATCTTAATATTCAAGGATGCCTTAGAACCTCACTGGCACAGGAATTGTATCACCTCATGGTACAAATTGCCTGCAACTCCCTCTGTGCTCTATGAAGTACTTGGTGATTAACCTCTAACTACCTCAATTATTCTGAATTTCCTCTTCACTCATGCCTAGTCACACTATGTTTGTTCTGTCTGTAGGTGGCTAATTCACATAGTTACAGCACAGGGCCAAGGAGACCAGGATTATAAAGTTAGGATATGTCTACAAAGCTAGGTTGGATTAATCTGTCCAACACTGTACACACATTCTTCACTCATTCCTACTTCCTGGCAAACAAAGTATCCCCAGCCAACAGAGACTAGTTGAGATAATGTGAATTGATCCTTGCAAATGCAGAAACTTGTTCATTAAACCCTACAGTCTAAAGCAAATAAGAAAATGAAGCAATTCCAGAAGCCAGTTTTCCTGCATTTCCAGGAAGTGGCTTACTAAGGCAAAAAAGAGAGAAAGAATTTCCTTCAAATTTTGAAAATATTAACTTGTAGAACTTCTAACATCTGTTTACTACTGTTGCAAAGATAATTAATACCATCATGCTTTTAAGTCCTCAACATCACCTATCAACATAATTTTTGCCTCTGCTTAAGTTTTCTATAAACTAGTAGGAATCTGCACACCATATTTACTGTGACTGATTGAAAGAAATTATAGAACATTTTTTAAAATAAGGGAAATAGTAATAATAGCCCCTATTTATAGGCATCTACTCAGTACCAGAACTGTGGTAGGAACATGTACTAACTCATTTACAAACTCAACGGCCACATAAAGTATTAATTATCTGCTTTTGTAGATGGTACAACTATTGTGCCCAGAGGTTATAGGGCCTTTCCAATATCCCAAGTCTTCTAAATAAAAGAACTGAGATGTTGAACAAATGTATCTAATTCCAAAGATCATGCCTTACACCACTGCATGGCTTCAGCACATAGTAAGTGCTCAATAAATATTTTTGCATAAATGAATCAGTTGTGGCTGAATCTTTTTTTTACCTTAAGATGTTGAAGCTACACATAAAAATGAAGCTTTCAGACACTGCACCAGATTTGACTGTCTAAAATACTTTGTTAAGGAATGTACGCTAGGATTTAATCACATTACTCTCACCTCAGTGGCCAGCGCAACCCTGAATGTTTAATTATGCTACTAGTTTTATACCTAATCAATCTTTTTCATTAAAATCCAGTGAAGCAGACAACTGGGATAATTACTGCAGAATCATCTTAATTAAAAATTTTAGCTTCTAATTAAGAGTCATTGTTTATCTCATCAGGAAACAGTTAGAATTCATGACAGGGTTGCCCTGTTTATTAAATTTTTAGCCTTTTTGAGGTTGGACATAGTACATGATACTCCTACTTATGTAAGCATTTGTGTTTATACCCACACATATGTTTGAGTACATTTAGGAATGTTTTAATTGCATCAGAGGAAAAATAGCAATACAAAGCATGAAGCCTAATGGAAACTCTATCACTGAAATCCTTGATCCAGTATTTACGTCTCAACTAATTACAAAATGTTCAAAAGTGAATTACTTATACCTCAATTACTAGTTGAAGGCATAATTATATTCACAACTGAACAAAAACTGCCTTAAAACTTTTTCTCACAAGTTATGAATTTTTAAAAAGCCTGATGAATATTCACCCAAATCTCTGCAGCATAAAGAAATAATTATTATTTCCCTAGACTCCCATTTCTGGGAAATTCCTTTTCACCATGAGGATCACACATATAGGTCTTTGGAAGGAAGTCACAGTCTCCTTGGAGTACAGGAAACTATCCATTCATTAGTAAATACACCCATGATGCTTTGTCCCGTGGGAAACTCAGCTTGATTACTCTCTGCAGTTGCACTGCAACCCTCCACATGTACAAGTGCTGTTGTGTAATTCATAACAAACACTAGCAAATGCTTTAAGTCATTACCCTTTGCCTTAACAGTGAGACACTGTTCTTTAACTCTCACAATCATAATTTGTGAATCTACTGCTCTATTCAACATGATTACAGACCCAAAGAAGCACAAAAGGTAGCCATAGAGGGTGTGAGACAGAAGAGCAGATCAATTCCTTAAGAAAAACCAAGATCCAAGTAACATATTTGATTGGCTGTTCCTGAGTATCTATGTTAGGAAACCTGGCAGAAGGGCAGGAATGGGGGTGGGAAGGGGGATGGGGACTGAGAATACTGGAAGGATAAAATTAATCATCGGAATTGGTTAAAGCATAATTTAAATGTTATGAATAAAGCTTCAGTAAAATGTTCCTATGTAGAAATATTTGGAAGCCAAATGACTTTCATAAGCTATGACAGTGATCAGCATGGCCTCCAATGACATCAAAGTTGACACAAGGAGTTCAGATATTTTAGGCTTAGATAGAAGCTTCAAATTCATTCTTTTTCACTTAAAATTCACATTTTTTAAATTTGCTTAAAATGCATTCACTTTTTCCACACTAACAGTAAGCAGACATAAAAGGTAGGGGAGAAACGTAGAGGCAGCAAATAAAGTTCAATTTATCATCTACAACAGAGGTTTTCCAACTGTCCATTGAAGAGAGGAAATGCAGAAATTTGGGGAAGTGACAACCTTCCCCCAACCTCAACAACATGCTTTCCTTCTCTCCCTACAATTTCCATTGCCCTCCCACCCAAAGACAGTGGAAAGTAGAGCTTTTAAAAATATTCGCTTTAAACTAACTACTGGAAAATGGACATAAGGATAATCTTTAAGCGTTCAGCATCTTCCTAAAGGACTTTTAAAATCATTTTAACTTGAAAAGGGGATGGAAAGGTGGGGGTAGGATAAAAATTAAATCTTTCCTTGAAGCAGTCTTGATAGTAGTATCTTCTCTCAGTATAGGGGGAAAAAAAGATAATGGTAGAAAAGAGTTATAGTCTAGGGTATTTTCCCCCTTAAAATTACTAAACACAACTGATTATATTATACCAAGCTGCCTTTCTATGAAGCATAAAAGATATAAACAGAGCACAGGCTTAAATATGGATACTACCCAGACTTCCAAATGAGCACCAGCATTCAAAGGGGTTTTCTTCTGGGAACAATTTGTACCTAGTTCCAGATGTTTTCCCTTCTAGAAAATAGCAAACTCTGCTTAGCATCCATTTCACTGGTGTAAGCAATAGGTACTTTAAATCCTGTCTGCTGCACCGCGGCCCACTGTTATTACAGCCAATGCCTCACCTACACCTGTACTGTATATATTGATGCTGAAAGAACCCATTCAGATAAATTACCGACTGGCAGAAGATGAGCTGATAAGAAGAGCATCGTTATTTTGCAAAATGGTCAATGCAGGGTGCTATAAAATAAAAATATAACCAAGGGATCATTCAAAGACATAGCAAATCTTATGGTGGAGGAGCAGGTGAATAACATGCCTCTGGAGGCGGTGAACTCTTCTTTCCCTGCACTGTCTGTGACATGTATGACAATGTCATGCTGCTGGAAGTGTCCAGCAACCAGGGCTAACCGGCCTATAAATTGCTGGGCAGCAGAATACCAAAGGCCTGATATATGGATTATTAAAATAAAAGAGCACAAGGGGCATAAATTCTCAGATAGATTTTGAGGCTTCTGTTCCTAATTCAGCTACTATGGAAGAATAATAATAACTATCATTACAGCCACCATTTCTTAAGTACTTACTATGTTCCAAGCCCTGGGCTTACATATATTCCCTTACTTGACCCATAAGGAACACTCCTATATGGAAGAAATTATGATTCCCATTTTATGAACATGGAAACTGAGCCTCAGAGCAGAAAAATAACTTGCCCACGCTAGTGCATGGCCAAAATCATGCATTAAAATTAGTACTACTTGATTCCAAAACATATGCTCTTAACCCCTTGCTCCAGAGTCTCATATTCAAAATAATTGGAAGGTAAAAATTTTAAGTCTCTTAGAAGGCAAAGAAATGCAGTCACCAATACAATTTTTAAAAAAACTTTTCCAAAATCCAATGATAGAACTAAATCTCACTAATTTAAACTAAAATGCAAAGCAAAATAATGTGGTTTGTGAATTTTACATTATACTTTTAGCATCATTAATGTTGGCAAGCACAAATTGACTAGCTACCTTTCAGAGAAGACCTCCAAACAAATGCAGATTTTGTATATAAATCATAAAGCATACCTAATGGAAACACAAAGTAAGTTATTAAATTTTCTCTCTGTTTATAGATCTTATGTATTATCTAGATGATATATTTAAAAGGAGGTAGTGATCTTTAGCCAATATGGTGTAAGTCTTACATTCATAAAGTGGTAATACTATCCTAGAGAACTAGGCAATTTGTAACAATTATTTAAGTTTTTTTAAATTTATCAGACATATAGCTGGATAGCTCGATGGATGGAAGGAAGATGATAGCTAATAGAAGGATAGTCAGGTAGGTAGGCAGGTAGGTCAATAGATAGATAGATACATAGCTAGATAGATACATAGATCTAGAGATATAATATTTGAAAGGAATTTTTATTTACAAGCAAACATCAGTATTTTAGATCCTTAACAGTTACCTATTGCTAATTCCCCAACACAAAATTTTGTTCCTAAATTGTGTGGCAAGACAGGGCAAAGCCAACTGTATTTAGCTCAATAGTTTCCAATTGGTGCTATAACAAATTACTGCATTAAAATGACACAAATTTATTATCTTACAGTTCTGGAGACTGGAAGTCTGAAATTAGTTTTATAATCTAAAATCAAGGTGTTCGAAGAGCTTCCCTCCTTCTGGAAGCTCTAGCCTTTTCCAGCCTAGAGAAACTGCCTGCATTCCTTGTTTTGTGGTTTTTTCTCCCATCTTCAAAGCACATCACTTTAACCTCTGCTTCCATCACATTTCCTTCTCTGGCTCTGATCCTCTTGCCTTTCTTTAAGAAACCTTATTATTACACTGGTGATCCAGGATAATCTTCCTATCTCAAGATCCTTAACTGAATCACATCTGCAAAGCCCCTTTTGCCATGTAAAATAATATATTCAAAGCCAGGTGCGGTGGCTCACACCTGTAATCCTAGCACTTTGAGAGGCTGAGGTGGGAGGATCACTTGAGCTCAGGAGTTCGAGGCTAGCCTTGACAACATGGCAAAACATCATCTCTACAAAAAATACAGGGAAGAAAAAAAAAAAACAGTTAGCCAGGCATTGTGGTGTGCATCTGCAGGCCCAGCTATTTGGTGGGCTGAGGCAGTTGGATCACTTCAGCCCAAGAGGTCAAGGCAGCAGTGAGCCAAGATCATGCCACTGCACTCCAGCCTGGGTGACAAAGTGAGACCCTGTCTCAAAACCAACACAAAAATTCAGGAGTTCTGGGGATTAGGACATTAATATTTTGGGGGGGACCATTATTCTCTCTACCACTATCTTTCTATAAGTGGATCCCCATAGCTTGCTGGGGGAAGGATCTTCTTTTTCTAAGGTGGTAACTTATTACTAATCATAAAGATAGCCAAAGGAATCTAGATCTCAGGGAGCATTCCTAGAATGTCTCTTATATATTCACTGCATTTGGTGATCTCATCCAGTTTCATAGTCTTAAATACCATGTATATGGCAAGGATTCCAAAAATACCTCTCCAGATCAAACTCATCTATCCAGACGCCTACTGAATACACCCACTTGGATATCTAATAGGCAAGTCTGACTCAACATGTCTAAAATTGAGCTCCTGATTGCCCCTCTCCCAAGCCTACTTCTCTCAGTCTTCCCCACATCCCTTAATAGAAACACTATCTCTACAATTGTTCAGGCCAAAAACCTTGGAATTATCCTTGACTCCTTTCTTACTTTCATATCCTTCATCCAATCCATCAGCAAATCCTGTCAGCCCTCCATTTAAAACGTATCCAGAATCCTGTATCTCCTCATTTCCACCACACCACCACACTGGTCCAAGCCACTATCACTTCTTTTCTGGAGTTTTGCAGTAGCCTATGAACTGGTCATCTTCCTTTCACTCTTTCCCCCTATGGTAGCAGCCAGCCTGGTCTTATAAAACATGATGCTGTGGGGCCTCACCCAGATTCCTCCTTTCAGGACTGAGGCACTCGCTACCCCAGCAGCCAAAAACATTGGCTGCCAATGGCTTACATTTGAATCCCCTTCTGGGAATTGTCCTCATTCAAAGGGAGCTGCCTTCTGAAGTTTATGCCCTTTTCTAAAGTGTAAACAATGACTGGTCAATGTGATGATACAAAAGCTCCATCCCTTTGCCTCGATTTGGGACAACTCTGGAGGACCCTGCCACTTCCAGGATTCCCTGTGGATCAGTGGAAGCCTCTGTTGCAGCAGCATTCCATTTCAGCTTCTCCCTGCTCTCTCCATCCTGTGCTCTCACCCCCTCAGAGGTGTTGCTCCTGAGAACATTCCCAAAATAAATCCACTGCCTGCAACAATACATCTCAGAGTCTGTTTCTAGGAGAACTCAACTGAAGACACTGAAATAAAATCATGTTATTCCTCTGGTCAAAACTCTCCAATGACTCTCCATTTCAAATAAAAGCTCATGTCCTCACAGTGTCCTAAAGGTCCTAAAGTGAAGCCACCCCTTTTGTCTCATCTCTTGCACTCTTGCCCCAACCTCAATGGACACTTCTTCCCTTAGCTGCTCCCTCTTTCTTGAATGCTCTTCCCCGACATATCCACACAATTTACTCACCTCTCAGTCTTGGCTCAAATGCTGTTTTCCCAAAGAAGCCTTTCCTGACCCTCCTATGGCATTAGAACTGCCATACCCCATAATCTACGTTGTTTTTCTGCATACCACTTACTGTCTAATACACAATATAGTACACTTATTTACTATGTTTATTATCTTTCTCATCTCACTATGAGAATTTTCTTTTTGTCTCTTTTATCCTCCCTACTTAGAGGAGTGCCTGGAACATGGTCTTCAAAATACTTGATAAATGAATGAATGAATGAGTGCTGACTGTGTGTCAGGAACCTCCCTGGGAACATTTGTGTATAATATCTCATATAACAGTCACAACAACTCCAGGAGAGGAATATTATAATATCCATTTTCCGACTGAGAAAACAGAGACTCAGATAATCACATGAGATTATCACATAGGTAAGGAGGGATAGAGCCCGGGTGTGAACCCCTGTTGGTCCAACTCAAAGCCATATTCTCACAGAGACTCCCCTATTTCAGCTAAACTACTCTCTTTCCAAACAAATCTAATCTAAACTAGGAAAACAAGTCTAAACAAGGGGTGAAGATTGAGTGGCACAGAAATCATGATCTTCATCATTTTATGAAATGTACATGTGTTCACTATTACTGTAGATGCTCTACAAGACGAGTTTACAAGTTCTAGCTTTGTAGTAACTAAGGATCTATCTGCCCAAAAGGAACATATTAACATGTAGGTAACTACTTGCACACACAGAGACCTTACCAAAAGCTAATTGCATTGTCAGTAGTATTTGGACCAGTAGGGGGGCGGGCAAGGGGTGTACGTGTTGATAGAAAACAAAAGTCTGGGTTTTATATCTGAGTTAATGGAAGAAAATAATTCACTGTCTTCCACTTAGCAAAAGAAAGCTTTGTAACGGAAGTGGGATTATAAGAGCTTTCTGAACTCCACAGAGGAGGAAATTTGGCAAGTTGACACTATGGTCTTATTCAGTGCTCAACACCCACTAACTTCAGAGAGAGCTTCTAGCCTGGATCAGCCAGGCAGGATGCAATGCAAATGGGAAATGAACCTGACCCCACCACAAAAGCCTTTAGCTTCACACACATGTGAGGCTGATGGAATTCACTGCCATAAAAGGAAGGTGAGAACACTCTAAATTGGCTTTTACCTTCTAAGGATGTTCACACACAAAGCATGCATTGTAGCCACTAATGAAAGACATGTGTTAGAGTAGTTACACATTGCAACTCATAGAAAACTAATGACATGAAACAGCCACGGTGCCTCTATGCTGACCCCTGTAACACCTCAAGACCAACTTGTAACAAGCAGAGCTAAGCCAATTTATCACTGAATTATGCGTCATTTAATAAAGACGGGTGTGACTCAACCTGCCATGCGGGAATGCTAAAAGCTTAAGGAAATGGCCACCAAAACTCCCCCTTTTCCTTTTCCAAAGCTCATCTTTAACCCTTCAGTAAATGATGGACTGATTGAAGCAAAAGTCTAAACTTTATAAACTATCACTAAAAAAATCTTAGGGTAGTCTGACCAGGGTTCTTGGGGTTATTTACTTGAAAATTACTACTCTTGCAGGATTAACTCCTGTTTCTATAGCTCAATGGAGTGTGAATGAAGTGAAAATGGAGGGGTTCTCTTTTTTGAACCACCATCAGCATCCTGAAATTGTAGTTCAAAGTATGCTTTCAGAAGCCAAAAGCCAAGTGATGATTTTACCAGTGTCATTTACAGTCGTCATCAAAACATATTTTAATTTAAATAAAAATTAATCCTAGGGGCTTTTAGGTTCTACCAATAGTTTTACATTTCCGAGGGGAAAAAAATCCTTATAATTTCATCATTGTCATAGAAACAGAAAAATCAACACATTACAGAAAAACGTTTCATGAGGGCTGAGAATAAGGACATCCATATCGAGTTACACACTTAGAGATAATTGATTTAGCAAAAATTCAGCTGGAATCATATAAATTATAGCAATTTCCACCATTGGTCCTATAGAAAAGCTTTTTAGTAATAACCAGAGGACATAGTTAGATATTCTCTAGAAAGTAAAGAAACTTCTCAAAATCTTTCCTTATTTTATTTCCCTTCTCGGGATTATATTCTTTTTATGATAACAAATTTGTACCACTGTAGAAGCATTTTAGTCCCTTGAAATTTTATAAAACTTTTTTTCTTGATGGTGCACCAAGAATCATGTTTCTCTTTAAATGAACAAAAAAAGTAGATGAAGTCAAAATGCATTTTATTATTAAGTTCAGCAACCATAGATTATGTTGAAGACTGAAGCACTTGCAATGCTCCTTCATCTGGGAAGACATTCTATTAAAAATTTGCCCATTATGCTTTTGTATTTCATTCCTTCTTTTCCTTCCACCAAGGTAATGAAAGCATCAAGAGTCCCTGAAATATTGTATAAAGAAAAATCGAAAAGAACATTTACAGCCCAGAAAACTGCTACTAATCATTAGGGGCTTGTCGCCATCTTTTTATTAACCTTTATTTTTCTTGAACTATTTTATTATTTAAGAAGATTCAGACCATGAAAAACATCTGACAAAAGAGACAGACACTGTTCTAAGCACTTCAAGTGTATTAACTCAATTTGTACTCACAACAGTTTTGTGATAAAGGTCCTGTTATTATCCCCATTTGAGAGCTGAAGAAACCAAGGCACAGAGCTATGTAGTAATTTACCCAAGGCCAATAGCTCTAAGTGGTGGAGGCCAGATTCAAATCAGGGCCGTCATACTCCAGAACCCATGCACTTACCCATGCCGAACTGTTTCAAGAAAGGCAGTGAGGAAAACCTGAAGCTTTCATTTTAATAATAAACCAAAAAGAAATTCTTCAGTCTCTGTGCACTTGATTAAGCTCCCAAAAGGTGAGATTACACATTTCAGTGTATTTCTCTCAAGTGATATAATGTCGGTCCTAAATTCATTTCAGAATTTTGTACAAAATGTGAAGTATTCTTTTTCTAGGGTAAAGGTGGTTTATTTCCATTAAGAAGAAAAAATAATAATAATGAGAAGAGTCAGGATAAGAAATGCAATATTTCTGCTTCATTATTTTCAAGGCTGACTATCATGTTTCAAAATTACCACATCAGAGAGTCTCAAATACAGTTGGTTTTGACTATCTTCATCCCAACCATATTTGGGAGGTAAGCAAGATACAAATTAGAAGGCAGCAAGAAAAAAACAGGGCACATTGTTTTACAAAACTGGAGTGAATGTTAAGCTAATCATTCTAAAATTCTAATATCTACCTTTTTATATTTTAAAAAAAGCAGCAAAAAAGTAAAAGAAAACAGGGAAAAAAATCTGGCAACTGTAAGGGTCCTTTCTCTTCACTCTGCTTTAGTCCATATGATTCATCCCAATTGTTTCCTTTCCATTTCTGGATGTTTGACCGCAAGGCAGCTTTAGTTTTCATTTGTCATTATTTGAAATAATTTTACACATCTTTTAAGCATTTTGATTGCTTAAATAGAAAATTTGAAATCAATATCTCCAGAGACACTTGAGAAATCCAAAGGGGAAAAAAAGTCTAAAACTGATTTCTAAAAATGAGTTTTTATAGAAAATTCCAGAGTACAATAACTAAGTAGAGTCTACCAAACAAGTAGAGAGTTGATTATCAACTGTAGCAAATATTACTTCCTTTGCATATTTTGCCCTCTATTACTGCAATGAATAAAAACAATTATGTGCACATACATACACACACACACACACACACACACACACACACACGTTTCCCTTTAGAAAGAATTTGCCTTTGGAAAAAATGGGCAAGAAGCCTATTGAAGGCCTTGGGTCATGGGGCAAGTCCTCTATACTCAAGTTTGTTTTCTGCAGATAACCCAGAAGTGATATCAGAGAGAACACTCTCTCTCCAAGGTGCTGGGGGCCTGCAGCAGTCTGTTCTTTATTTTCCTTCCTCAGATAAAATATGGTACACCACACTTTGCCGGAGATGGATTAGTGTTGACTGGTTTATATTGTCTGGCAGAGTTAGAGGGAAATTTGAAAGTTAATGCACAATTTAATTCTCCAGAGGACTTCTGAATCGTCTGGAGAATTCTGGTAGTATAAACATGACAGCCTTTGAATACAACTGTGATAAAAGTAATTTCAAATAACATTAGGGGTGGCTTAGAGCTATTTCTTATTACCCAGATCACTTTAAAACAAATCTTGACAATGATCAGCAATGATACATTATGAGTGGCATGTCAACAGAGGCCCAAATGTGAGACATCAACCGTGAGCTAATGTTCCTCTGATAGCTGTGATTTAAAGATACTCCATTATGGCCTCCAACTGCCCATAAAGACCCATTTTCCAAAATATTATTATTATTTAATTATATTTGTGGTAGTAGGCTCCAGGTTTTTATATATGCTCTGAAGCTATCACTAAAATATTTCAGATAAGGTAAAAGCATGTACCTGTGTAAACGCTAATAATAATAATACCTTGGCAGAGTACAGCAGCAAGTTAAAAAAAAATAGATAAAGCCGAACTGTGTGGGGGGGCTCTGGTAATTGGAAGAGTCAATGGCTATATGATTCAAGAAAATAGTCTCCCTCGAGAAGGAGACTGATTGTCCTGCATTTATACAGCAGCTAACCAACACTAAGCAGACTTTCCTTTGCATATTATTGGTGCCAGGCCGATGAGGCAGAAAATTGCATCGTGTCATTTAATTTCCCAATCTTTGTTTTCATTGTATTAATCTTTTGGCTTTGTTTCACTTTATAATTTGAAGGCTCAGCAAGAAGCAAACCAAATGGAAATTCAGCTTACTTTCATGTCTAGCTGAATGTGTTTGGTGCAGTTTCCAAAAGTTTAATTCTACGTAATACTGTCCATGAATAATAATAGGCTGCTTCTGCATGCAGACTTATTAGTGTTTATTAAGGGTTGCCTTAAAGTTTCTGGGAAATGTGCCCAAAAGTCAGTCACCAAAACGTGATTAACAAATTGGTTACAGAAGGAGAACAGATAATTTTTTAAAACAGAAGTATATCATCCTGTTGAGAAATAAGAACTAAAACCCTCAAAAACTGATTTAACCTAAGTGAGCTTCTTTCTCCCTACCCTCCTTTCCGTTTTCCTTTCTTTTTGTGAAAAAGAAATAAACTTGAAAAAATGCAGAGAACTGAGATTTCAGTGAACTACACAAGAAGCTAGTATTTTGAAATACAAATTAAAAAGGCATCCACAATTTCGGGGGATGAAGGGTGACAGTGCAATGCAGAGCTTCAAACTGTTTGGATTTTGCAATCAAATTGATCTGGCTTCATATCCTGCCATCTCTGCTTGCCTGCTGTGTGTCTTTTAGTAAGGCATTTCACCTCTCCAAGCTCACTGCCCAGTCTGTAAAATAGAGTAGGAATGTCTGACAGGGACGTTAGGAAAGCAAATGTGAAATGCATGTAAACACCCAGCACTGCACCTGGCACTTAGGATGCCCTTGACGAGGGGCATGAGACATTGCTATGGGGCTACTTGCTGTTGCTATCACCTCAATGTCTACTCAACAATAAGTAAAGGAAGGAGTATAAAATATCAGTCAGGTCTCTTTCCTCTACCACAATAACCCTGTTGTCACCAAGATTGCATTTTGGAATGCTGAGATTTGGAGATGGGGTTTTCTTTTTCCTTCTGACTTCTATTATTTGTAATAACTACAAACTTAAAATATATAACTGGCCTTAAAACTGGAATATACCTACTACGTTTTTCACTGCTACAAATGAACCTACCCACTTCCCCAAAGATATTGAATTATTGATTCTTCTGTGTTTGTGGGTTCATCTAAAACATGGTTTATAATGAAGCATAAATAACAAAGAGATAGCAGAAAACCAAGGAGGAATATGTTAAATCCATCTGAAATAGACAATGGGATTATTTAGAGTCTCAGATCTTACAACTGCTAAGCCCTTCTTCAAGGCAATATTTTAATAAGAACAGTGAATCTTACAAACTTGGGTTAGAAAAACATGTACAGAGAAACTCACTGTACTTCCTCAACTAAAAATAAGTTTCAGCTGGAACTCTCTTTCTCGTTAAAATTGTCTCATTCTTCCCTGATCACCAATTATTTTTATAGACATTGATTCATGTGATACACTAGCCTTGTGGAACAAGAAGGGCAGGTATTATTGACTCCAGTTAAAAGATGAGAAAAACTGATAATTAGGGAGGTTTTGCCACATGTCCAAACCAATATCAATGCTGAACACTTAGCAACTTAAAACTTCTGCCATCTCTATTCAGAGGAAAATACAATGATTCAAGAAACAGCCTTAGTACCCATAGAAATGGACCAGTAAAGGCTACTTTTTAAAGAAGAACATTAACTTTTACTTGTTTGTGTTTATAGAATATATCATTCTTAGAGGAGATATAGGTGAAACGTTTCTATGTTTACTTTTGTTAACTTTAAAAAATCATTGTAGCACCAAATTATTTCTTTTCAGTTCAAAAGATAGGAAACTCTTTTTTCTGATTTTCCTCAGATTCCTATCATGCTGTTTGTGCCAACCAACCCATTACAAATTGCAGAAATGACATTTGCCCTTCATCTGAGCTCCCCAGGCATCCACAAATAGCAACTGAAAGTCCCTAGGCCTCCTGTGACTTAGACTTCACTTTCCCAAGAGTTCCTGGAAACAATGTCAAATTACAAGAATTTGCACTCCTAGTCAGCTCAAAATACCTGCTAAGTTTGTTACTATACATCCTTTTCAAAGTGAGTCATCACTGTTATAAAATGAATTGGTCTTATATAAATGTCAATTTGGGGTTATATTCCTCAAGAAACTCAACCTGTTTCTAATAACTTGTTTGAAATCAGAGGATGGATGAGCTTCTGTCATACCATATGACATGGTATAAATTTATCGAGCCTATTTTTTACCCAACAGTAGAGGTGCTTTAGGAAGTTAATCACCAGCACTTTGTGCTAACTGACAAGCAACCTCTTAGCTCCCAGTTACCATGAATGTTATTCCAAATAGTTAATCACAGAGCTAAATGCAGATAAGGTGGAAGTATGCATACATCATCAAGACAAGCAGATTATATATTTAAAAAACTAGATCATTATGAACTCTGAAGCTAATGTTTAAGGTTATTCTTTAATGCTATTGCCAATTGCCTTTTCATTTTTTTCTGTTTTTTAAGTGTTAAGGTATCTTTTTATTGGCTCAATTCATGTCCTATTAGTCTTGGAATTTAACAAGGCCTCACGGCAAAGAAGGTCTGGAAGAGAACTTATTAACTTTCCCTCAGAGTAATGAGTCCCATATGGAATAAAGAAAGAATACCAACTTCCAAAAGACAAAAGTCATTAAAGTCAACAGAGGGTTAATGTGATTTTTAATAAGAGGCCCATTACAATTCTCAGGACCCATAATGTTGGTACCACACTGGGCATCTATTGAAATAAATCAGAGTGGTTTCTTCATTATCCTCCACTAAAGATAAGGTAGCATCTTTCTCCCTAAAGTCTCATATTTTTCTCAGGGAATTATATATTACCCGTCATCCTTTTTCTTGTAAATAAACAAGACAATTATCACACTTGTCTTTCATAAAATATTTTCACTAAAGCAAAAACTTCATTCAATTGTTCATTAGAAAATGAATTTGAATTTGGAATTAACTGACTCTAGTGTTAAAAGTAGTAACATAAAATTGACATCTTACATACGTTTATATCAGGTATGTATGCATTTAATACACAAAGAAATATTTCTTCTACCATAGGTATTGCTAAACATCCGTACTTCATCTAGAGCCTCCTCTGAAAAACACCAAGTTTGGGGGTAAAAAAAAAATGGGGGCAAAAGTGACAACACAATTCAAGCAATTCAGGAAACTAAGAATGATTTCCACCATTGAAATTGCATGAGAAAACAAAGATTGTCATTTGGAAAGGCCTAAGGAAGAGAAAAGTAGAAGGAAAGAAAAGCTTTATCAAGGATGACAGGCTGAATGCTAGTTTTGGAGTTGGGAGACAAGGGCTTGGACCCCAGCTACATCTCTAACATAGAAAAGTGACTTTGGCCAAGTCATTTCACTTCTATGAACTTCCACTTCCTTGCCTGTAAAGTGAGATGCTGGACATGGTCCAGGACAGAAAAGAAATTTCGCCTGACATCCCACTGATAGTAAATTAATAGTGGGAGCCTGGAGAACTGTGTTTCAATATCGAATTGAATCCAGATGCAGCCAGAAAGAGTGCTGTGTTCAATTAGTAATGTCTGCCATGGAAGGGGAATGTGGGAACATTGCCACACAAATTTATCACCACATTAAATGATTCTTAAAGTTATCTTTCACTGTAACATTCTTTGATTCTATTAACTATAACATACACAGATTTTTTTTCTTCTCCATGATTTTGACCTACCACAAATAGTTAAATGTCTCTCTCAAATCATAGCAGAATGTCTAAGCCACTAACTTTGGAAATACTGAACAGGATGATGCCCAACTTGGAAAAAAAAAAGAGACTCAGAATAAAGAAAATGTATAGTGAAAGCTGGCCAGAGTAAGCTTGAAGATTCCCTATGATTCTAATAAAGGACTAGATGGAAAATAGCACTGTTACTCCTACTTGCCCTCCCTCAGAGGCTAACAGGCACACACCTAATTAACTCTGTATAATAAGAAAATTGCTCAAGTTGGTGATGCTGTCTCTGAGAATGATCCATTTCTCCACAGTCCAATGACATAGCAATAATCATTGTTTATAATGAATTATGAAGACTGAATAATACAGATTAAAGTATCACCAACTTCAAGGTTTACCAATAAGCTAATTTGCAAGACAATATTTCATATCATGTGCTGTAATATTATTTATCAATGTTTAATAAGCACTTTATAACTTTTGGCAAGCAAATGAGAAATGGATTACCATAGAGAGGTGATGAAATATTTATAATTCACAATAGCTACTATTACACGGTAGCTGTTCAAGAACTCTTAATAGTAAATTGAATGGAAATATAATACTGTAATGGATGTGGAAGTGTTCAATCGGCCATTTGTAATGAAATATGAAAGTGTTTAAAGAGAGTAAATATATTTGTAATGGTTTTTGATTAGCTATAACTGTATGTGATTCAACCATCCATTATGAACGGTGTACAGACATTATGTTGACTTATAATATTTATAATAAAACTGACAGCCTTGAAGATTTTTAAGAATCCTTGCATGATGATGGATATGTTAATTAGTTTGATTGTGGTAATCATTTTACAATGTATATGCATACCCAAACATCTCGTTGTATATCTTAAATATATATCATTTTTATCGGTCAGTTATACCTCAATAAAGCTGGGCAAAGAAGAATCCTTGCTTGTAATATTAACTTCCAATAATTAAATCTGTATCATTGCTTTGGGAAAAAAAAAAACTCTTCCTCGTTATCAAACTTTCCTAAAAATTTAAACTTGTGTTTCTTTAATAATTGGTCCTTATTTATGATTAGCGGTACTATTCTTCATTTTTGATAAATCATAAATTTGACCTCTGTTTTTGCTCATATAAGACTTTATGTTTACAGGAAGTAGGCCAAAAACAACAAATAAATACCTATATAGATACAGATACAACATATATCTCCACTATGCTATGTAACACACATTATATTCTACCAGGAAAAAAAAATTCTCAAAAATTAAGACAATTGTATAGAATCATCAAAAGTTGCAGTCTCCATGTATTGTTTAATACAATTACCATATCTGTAACTCAAACAACCCCTACTCACTAATTAATTCTTTCCTTCACAAACACTTCACACCCCTGCTTAACACCCTGCAATGGCTTTCTGGTTGCCATAGGATACAGACAACAGTGCCTACTCAGTCCACAGAGCCTGACAAAGCTCCTGCCAGCCCTGCATCCTCACTCCTCACCCCTCCATTCCGGCTCTATGAACTCCAGCTGCACCTGCCTGCTTTCTGTGCCTCAAAGAAAGTCTATCATGCTCTGTTTCAGGTGCTTTCCATATATTCCCTCTTCCTGAAACACATCTCTGGCCCAGCCATCTCCACTTTTTCTGCAGCAATTAATAATGTGTGCAATTGTCACATGTCTAACTCTTCCACTAGAATGTCAGCTCCATGAAGGAAGGAACTGTGTACCTTCTATGTACTAACTGTCTCCAGCCACAGGACAGTGCCTTGCACATAACAGTGCTCAGTTAATATTAATTGATTAAACAATAAATTAATGAATATATAAACAAAAGGCCCATTCACAGACAGTGTCAGGTACCAAGAGAAGATGAACAGAGCAGATCTCCTGACCTGTCATTATCTGAAGGTACCCTAATATTACTTCATTAAATATGAACTTGGTTTGATGGAAATGAATTGTAATAGTATAATCAGAACAGTATTCACAAGCTCAGGTATTTGGTTTTTAGGTTTGTGGCATGTTCTTACTAGTGGATTGCAACTCAGAACCAGTGACTTTTTCACCTAGCTTACCCATTTACTAACTACCTTGTTCTCCGTTTTGCTTTGATACCTATGCATAGGTCAGGATCTGGCCTGTTTTCTCTATCCTTGACTCTGTTAATACTAAAATTTCACTCTCTAAAGGTAAGTGATACTAGTACAAGAGAAATATTCTTGATTATACTTTGCTTCTGCTTTAAACTGGGCAAACAAAAAAAAAAAACAGCACACCTAAACTTAAGAGAGTAACCATCAGGTTTCTCCAGAGAAATAGAACCCGAGAGAGAGAGGTCGGGGAGCTGGCCAGTCCAAAATCTGTAGGCAGGTTGGCAAACTAGAAATTCAGGCAGGATTTCTATATTACAATCTTGAGGCAGAATTCTTCTCCAAGAAACCTCAACTTTTGCTCTGAGACCTTCAGTTGATTGGATGAAACCCACCCACATTAACCAGAGCAATCTCCTTTACTTAAAGTCAAATGATTGTAAATATGAATCACACCTACAAAATACCTTCTCAGCAACGCCTACACTAATGTTTAACCAAACAACTAGGCATCACAGCCTAGCCAGTCTGGTAGATGGTATTATTGAGTGCAAACATTCATTCTTTCCTACACCCAGTAAGAGAAATAAACTTTCCTGTTCTGTGATTTGACAACATGGCTTGCTTTGACAAGTGGGACATGTGCTAATTCTGAGACAGTTTTGTCAGTGTCCCCTTGTGGTTTGATTTGGCTCAGTCTGGCTGTTCTCCACTGTTATGAGAATGGGTTCTTGTTCCAAACAGGGGCTTCTCCTTTATCTTAGGTCCTAAAATTAATACAGTGTGTGGAGCACATCAATCAAAATCTCACCACCAAGCTGGATCAGAGCTGAAGCACAGAGCTAAGACACTGACATACAGCCACTGACATGTAACATGAGGAAAAATAAACCCTTATTTATTTCCAAAACCATTGAATTTTGAGGACTGTTTGATACACAGAAAGATTTCCAGCAAAAGCTAATGAATTCAAGACACTTTTGTGAAGCCTACCACATTTTGATTAGTATATGGCATTGCATCCAATCTATTTATGCTGCCAATGATAAATTCACATGAGCTAAAGTGAGACTGATTCTTATCTGGATAGATACATAGCATGATCTCTGTCACAGACATCTTGTGTTTCGCAAAATATTACGTAAGTCGAACTACTTAACACTTATTTAGGACTTTTTGTGTTTGACAATCTTCTGAGCCAAGCAGATACAAAAGTAAAATGTGACATAATTTTTCCTTTTGGAAGCCGATAGACTCGTGAGGAAAGTATACATGTCAATGTGTAGAATAATAGGAGATTGCAGCTAAATTCTACCTTGTAAATTCTGGCTATGCCTTTCTGCTATACAAAACCTTCCTTGCATGCTTCAAGACTTGACTTGTTACTGCTTCCTTCTATTGATTCCTGAGAAAGATCCATTCTCTTAAAACTAACATCTGTTTATCCATCTAGTCACTTAAACAGAAAAATGGCTTTGTCAAGAGAACCCAACTGAATAAGTAAAATACAATCATGACTCAGAATCCCACCTTTCTTACTAGTCTTTAAGTCCCTCATGAAATCTAAGCCTAAATAGCGCTTCCCAACATTCTAAATTGTCCACACCTGTCCCAGCCAAGCTCTACAGCCTTATCTCCCACCAATCCTGCACACAAGCCTCCCACCCCAGGCAAGCTCCTCACTGCTGACCACTATGCTGATTGGGCTGATTATTGAAAACTTTGTCTCTAAGCCTCACCTTCACTCTTCTCAACTTGGCTTTGTAGCACTAGAATTGGGCTCTGCAAATCATATGTCTGCCTTGCCAGGTGGGCTCTACCAATAAAGGGAATTAGGGGAAGGACTGGGAGAGAAAAAGAATCTTGCTTGTTCTTTCCAATTTTCTCCCTATTTCCGCCAGCATTCAGAAGAGTACTTCAACCTGGAAGGGGCAATTCGTTGGTTCTAATTGCAGTAGCAGTTTTAGTTTGCTTTTTTTTCCCCAGACTCCCCGAGCTAGCCTTATCGTGCCTAGCTCTGGGAGTGAACTGCAACCTGGAGGACCAGAAAGAGACCTTTACTAGGACTCAGAAAGTCTTGTTCAAGAATCAGCTCTGCTACTCACTAGCCCTGTGAATTTGGGTCTTTCTCGGATTTAGATTTCTTACCTATAAGAAGGGGTATTTGGGTTAATTAATCTCCAACCCCCTTATAATTCCACTTTTCCAGAACTCTGAATTCTGAGTTTCCCATTGGTAAATTTTATCTTTCCAAGAATATTTTAACTCCATTAAGGTCAAAACCTTTGACTAAAACTTCCCCTAACCTCTGGTCAGCCTGGCAGTTTTGTGGGCCAAGCATACAGCGAGTGCTCCCAATCATTTCTAACTAAAATTTCAGATTTATATTGAAAATATGTGTGAGCCAGAGGTTTCAAACTGGTGGTCTGGAAACCAAATTCTGCCCACAGCATGATTTGTTTAGCCCATGGTGACTTTTTAGTGGTTGCCATGATTCTAATACTGAGAGATTTTATATCAAATCCAAAATGCATCCTTCAGATTTCACAGATGAGAAAATTTGTGACAAGGAGGTAAAGGAAATTGTCCAACATCAAGGACCCAATCAAAGGAAAAATAGCCACTCAAATCTAAAGGCCTCTCTGATTTTGGGGTTCCTGAGCCTCTCTTGCTTCTGTAAAGATGACACCATGAAGTGGGGATTGGAGGATAGAAAGTTTAAATCTTAAACTACATTCTCTTTTGCCATTTGCCAAAGCCCCTCATTTGTCATCAGTATACAGTAGGTTTTAATGTTCTAAATGATAAGGTGTCTTAAAACTTTTTCAGTGCAATGTTATTTTCAAGTAATTATAAATATCAACATTTCATTTCATTTGTATTGGCATTCATAATTCATAGAATTCACTGTGATTGATTTTGAAGAAAACTGACACCAGGGATATTTGTTCTCTGTAATGTAAAATTAATAGCAGATGCATGACTGAGGGAAACATTTTCCTGCTGTTTTCATAGTTATTAAAACTCCTGGACTCTGTTCTTTTTGTTTCTAACACATATGCTACACTGTCCCTGTTGCCCACGTACTTTCTTGCAGCATTTGAAAATGGTGGCTACTCTCTTCTCCTTAAAACTCTCTCTTTTGTTGTTTTCTGCTTTGAAGTAATAACAGCAGCCACCATTTACTGAACACTTCCTATGAGATATAGAACAGATTGATAAATAATATCCGGATTAATACTTCAGAGAAGCTTTTAAAATAATATTAACCCCAGTTGCCAGAGGCTGGGAAGAGTAATGGGGAGGTAGGGGGAAGTAAGGGTGGTTAATTGGTACAAAAAAATAGTTAGAAAGAATAAGACCTAGTATTTGATAGCACAATAATAATTTAATTGCACATTTTTAAATAACTAAATGAACATAATTGGACTGTTGGTAATGCAAAGGATAAATGCTTGAGGGGATGGATACCCAATTTTTCATGATGTGATTATTACACATTGCATGCCTGTATCAAAACATCTTGTGTATCCCATAAATATATACACCTACTGTTTAAAAAAGGAAAAAAGTAGTATTATCCCCATTTTACAAGGAAAAACACAGCAGGCTCAGACACAATAAACAGATTGCTATCAATGACATAGCTAGTATCTAGTGGCAACAGTGTCCCTGAGCACTACATGATACTGTCTCTCTTGGTTTTCTTTCTTCCTATATCTCCTCTATTTCTTAACCTCATTCACAGCCCCCTCTTACTCCAGTGGATTCCAATATGTCGGTGATACCTGGGTGTATTAGTCCATTCTCACTGCTATAAAGATACTACCTGGCTGGGCACGGTGGCTCACGCTTGTAATCCTGGCATTTTGGGAGGCTGAGACAGGCAGATCAACTGAGGTCAGGAATTTGAGACCAACCTGGCCAACACAGTGAAACCCCATCTCTACTAAAAATACGAAAAATTAGGCTCAGACACAATAAACAGATTGTATGTGGTGGTATACACCTGTAGTCCCAGCTACTCAGGAGGCTGAGACACAAGAATTACTTGAACCCAGGAGGCAGAGGTTGCAATGAGCTGAGATTGTGCCACTGCACTCCAGCCTGGGAGACAGAATGAGACTCCGTCTCAAAAAAAAAAAAGATACTACCTGAGACTGGGTAATTTATAAAGAAAGGAGGTTTAATTGACTCACGATTCCACATGGCTGGGGAGGCCTCAGGAAACTTACAATCATGGAGAAAGGCAAAGGGGAAGCAAGGCACATCTTACATGGCAGCAGGACAGAGAGAAAGTCCAGGGGAAACTGCTATTTTAAAACCATCAGAGCTTGTGAGAATTTCCTCACTATCACGAGAAGAGCAAGGGGAAAACCGCCCCCATGATCCAATCACTCCCACCAGATCTCTCCCTCAACATGTGGGGATTACAATTCGAGATGAGATTTGGGTGGGGACACAGAGTCAAACTGTATCACCAAGCTTCTATCTTCATTCACGTCATCAACCAATATAATAGGCCAAATGCACGTCTCCATCCCAGACCTCTCTCCTAAACTCAAATCAGTACATGGTTGTAGTTAAAAGGAAGATACAGAGATGATTATGTTGGCTCCATCCTTTGCCAGCTATATGGCCTTGGACAAGGTACTTAAACTTTCCAGCTTGTTTTCTTATCTGTAAAAGGAATAATAGAGCTAATGCAAGGATTAAATCAGACCATACCTATAAGGCAAATGGCACTTAATATATATTCAATAAATGTTAGCTACTATAATTATTATTGTTATTATTATTATATTTCAGACTACCTGGATCAGCCCAACATAAGTAACCTTATAGCCCTTCAAACATCTAGAATCTATCATCTATACTCATATAAGAGGGTGTCTTGCTAAATTTCAAATCTGCCCACCTCTCCTCACCTCATATAAAATTCTCTGGCAGATCACCATAATATTTAGAATGAGATCCAAATATCTCAGCAGAGACAACCCTTCAACATCCAGTCTCTGTTGACTCTACAGTCTTACCTCCCACCATCTCCAATCTCTAAAGGAACAAAATGTCTACTTCTGCCATCAGTACAAACTAGTTGTTCATGTCTCAGCATGCTGGAAAATGTGGTTTCCAGGAGCCAAAAATGCCTTCCTAACTCCTTCCTGCCCTTCTAAATGCTACTCATATCTCCGTCTTCCCATGTCTTCCCTAACTCCTGAAGTCTGAGTTTGCTCCCTCCTTTGGGTAGCCCTTGAAGCCTGCCCTTGCTTTAGTCCTTATCACAGAGAAGCCTCACTTCTGGTTTGCTGCTCAGCCTTACTTAGTAGACTCGAATTCCTGAGTTGAGTCTCTTAACTCTGCAACCTAGCATCAGACACCCAACAACTAAAACTCTGCTAAGAAGGCAACTAGGTTCTAAGATGAAAAGTAGGCATGTTGATGGCACAATTACAAATCTGTTTTGCAAACATAAAATGTTAATGCTGAGGACATTACAGATCTGATCAAACAATTCTTTCCATTTGCACATGGAACCCCTAATACTTAGGGAGGTCACGTGACTTGTCCAACTTTATACAGTTATTCATGCAGTCCAGGCTCATCCCAGAACACCAGTTTGGGAAGGGTAAGTAATGTGAACCCAGGCCTCAAACTTGAACACATCCCACTCCAGGTTCATATAAGTCATCTATTTACTTATACCCTATTTTGTTACAGAAAGGGTTTAGGACAGTTTGAATAAATACTTAAAATAAGACTTAGTTTTCTTAAAGCCAATAAAGGAATCATACAGTTTTGGAAGATGGAGATTGTGAAGTGGGGCAAAAATAGGGAAGCCAGAAAGAGACAGGCCAAAACCCCTGTGAAGTTAGTATTTAAAGCTCCATAATGAGATCTGGTGCATTTTCTAGGAGCAGGTTACAAATTTGCTTTTAAACTCACAGAAAATAGGTATAATCTATTCTTGAATTACGGTGTAATATTAAAACATTACACTGATGCTGAAATATGAAAGAAATTTCTCCCATAAGTCTTTGTGAAGAAAAAAATGAAATAAACAGTATCTTTTAAATAATCCTGAGTTGCATAATGTCATTCTGTATAATATTCTTCAATGAAGTCCCAAAACATTAACAAAGTGCAATTCAAGAAAATTGGGGGAATTGAGTGGAGGACAAAACAATATGGACAATATATACAGTTCTCTGCACTGAAGAGGCTGTGCACCCCATGAGGGCAAGAAGCCCCTCCCTTGTTCATTGCCGTATGCCTTAGCACACTGTCTACCACAGTAGGGAAGCTCAAGAGTTCAAATGTTCAGTAGAGAACTAAACAAATCTACATAAACAGTTCATACTCAGTCAGTCAAGTGAGAAAAGTAAAATGTGAGAAGTTACAGCTTTTCAAGACAGAACCAGGTTATTGACTGGGATCCCTGCAGACATCAGTTCCAGGCGCCACATTGGTATGCAAAGAATTTGAACAACAGTTTCAGAAGAAACATTTCAAGTTTGCGGTTAATACTAAATTGGAAGAGACAGCAAATAATGAGAAACAAAGCAGGCAGATAAAAGGGTTTTAGATATTTCAAGTACCTACCCAGCTAATAAATGCAAATGAAGTTCAGTACAGATAAGCACAGAATTATGAGTCTGGAAGCAAAGAAGAGTAAGGAGGACTATCTGCTTAATGGAAATGAGCTGCACGGTGCTGACCAGGAATGAGATCTGGGGAATTAATGCAGAAGAAATCCCTCAAGCTTTCAGCCCACTTTGCTGCTATGGAAAAGAAACATGATGATGAGCTGTATTAAACCACAATACACAACAATCAAGTCACGCTCCACATTGGGTGAAAATGAAACCAAAGCAAGAAAAGAATAATTTTTTTTTAATTGCCATTCTGTTCAGGGCAGGACCATCCTCACTGATTTTTTTTTTTTTTAAATCTCAACCTTAAGCAATTGTCTTCTACAGATTTATTGAAATGTGTTTTTTATTATTTGCTTGTATTCTCTGTCATTTTCCATGTTGTCTCACAATTACTCAAGGGTCCCCAGAATACTGTCATCACACCTGAGAGCCAGAGCCATCACTGTACAAACAGAAGACGCTTAGATGGCAAAGGTTAAGTGGCTCCTTCTGCCAAAGCTATACATTGCCTTTTTTCCTTTTATTTTCTTTTTGATTTTCCTTTTGTTGTTGTTGTTGTTGGTGGTGGTGGTGGTGGTGGTGGTGGCGGTGGTGGTGGTGGTGGTGGCAGTGGTGGTAAAAAAAAAAAAAAAGAGTCATAGATTCATAGCTTTTAACACTGAAAGGTGCTCTAAGTATACCTTTATGAGCCTCCTAACTATAAAGAGAGTAGCTATTATTAGCACCATGTAGCAGATGACCTTGCCAGACCCAAGGGCCCAGTGATATCAGCCAACCACATTATAGTCCACTCTAGAACTAATTGAGTCAAACCCAGTACAAGGTTGAAAGAGACAGATGTGATAAGAGTACCTAAAGGCTTTCCTAGCCAAAAATGGTTCTCCCTATTCCTGCTTCAGTTCCTGAAATTCCATATTAATTCACACAATATTTCTTGACTCTCCACTATGGGCTTGGTACTGTTCTAAGCATTGATGATATAATAGCCAACAAAAGAGACTATATCCCTACCTTTGTGGAGCTTAAATTATAGTGAGCAGAGACAGACAACAAATAAACAGAAATGAACTAGACAGTCTCAAATAATAGGAAGCACTAGGAAGTTAATAAACTGAATGATGTAGAGAGAAACAGGAGAGGGATAGGGGAACTATTTGAGGAGGATGGTTTAAAAAGACTACTCTGAGGAGGTGACACTGAAGTAATTAAAATTTGAATGATCAGGCACTCATAAAGAAAGTCCATACCAAACTATAATTATGACCTGGGGAGTAAAGGCATTTTTTAAAATTATAATTTACTAAAATCTCATTCCAAATTAATTTCTCAGATTTTCTTCCCAATACCTTATAGAACTGTGTAAAACAAAGAAAAATAAGAGAAAATAGGTTATATTTGATAAGGGGGAAGGAAGAATACAATGGGTTGGGAACCCAGAATTCAGGCTAACGAGCAAGCCCTAGACCTTGGTGAAGGAGAAAACAGGGAAAACTGCTTACTGAAAGGGAGAGAAATATTTCAAGCACAATTATAAGTGCATACTCTACTAGATTTAGCCATATTTCCCCCCAATAACCTTACTTCAGACATGACACTTTCTTAATTAGTGACTTTTACATAGATAATTTATGTAAATTAATAGTTCAATTTTCGTTTGAAATAGGACAAGCTGTAGAATACCGCAGTGGTCAGCCTAAGATGACCCCCAGTGATCCCCTCCTCCTGGTATATTCCCTTATGTAATTGTCTTTCCTAAGTGTGGGTTAGACCTAGAGACAGATTCAATAAATAAAAGACAGAAAATGTGACTTTTCTCAGAGAAGTCAGATGCCATGCTACGAGCTGCCTTCCGGAGAGGCCCATGTGGCAAGAAATTGAGGGATGACTGTATATTAGTCTGTTCTCATGCTGCTAATAAAGACATACCCAAGACTGGGTAATTTATAAAGGAAAGAGGTTTAACAGACTCACAGTTCCACATGGCTGGGGAGGCCTCACAATCATGGCGAAAGGCAAAGGAGAAGCAAAGAACACATCTTACATGGTGGCAGGCAAGAGAGCTTGTGCAAGGGAACTCCCATTTATAAAACCATCAGATCTACGGAGACGTATTCACTATCACAAGAACAGTATGAGGGAAACCACCCCCATGATTCAATTATCTCCACCTGGCCCCACCCCTTGACACATGGGGATTATTACAATTCAAGGTGAGATATGGGTGGGGACACAGCCAAACCATATCAGACTGAATCCCATCAAACAATCACATAAGTGAGTTTGGAAGTGGATCTTCTCCCAGTTTAACTTTAGATGACACTGCATTTCCAGCCTCATGAGAGAAACAGGCAGGTGTACCTCACTAAGCCACATCTGGATTCCTGACCCATACAGTGAGATAATAG